>NC_000015.10:84774611-84926126 GCF_000001405.40 Homo sapiens
ATACGGATGCACACAGACAACATACATTCACCCAAGTTTTATGGAAGTCAGTTGTTATTTTGTTCTGTTTTTTTTTTGGTGGGATCTTAGCATTTAAAGTCTGTAGAAATTCTGTCTACTAGTCTACTAGTTCTGCCATAATTATATATAATCATACTGGTTTTTGTTTGTTTGTTTGTTTGTTTTTTGAGACAGAGTCCACTCTGTTGCTCAGGCTGGAGTACAATGGCGTGATCTCGGCTCACTGTAACCTCTGCCTCCCAGGTTCAAGCAATTCTCCTGCCCCAGCCTCCCAAGTAGCTGAGATTACAGGTGTACACCACCACGCCCAGCTAGTTTTTGTATTTTTAGTAGGGACAGGGTTTTGCCATGTTGGTCAGGCTGGTCTTGAACTCCTGACCTCAGGTGATCCACCTGCCTTGGCCTCCCAAAGTGCTGAGATTACAGGCATGAGTCCCAGCACCTGGCCACTGTTTTCTTTTTCTTTTTCTTTTTTTTTCCTAAGATAGGGTCTCGCTCTGTCACCTGGGCTGGAGTACAGTGGTGCAATCTTGGCTCACTGCAACCTCTGCCTCCCTGGTTCAAGCGATTCTCCGGTCTCAGCCTCCTAAGTAGCTGAGACTACAGACATCTGCCACCATACCTGGCTAATTTTTGTATTTTTGGTAGAGACAGGGTTTCACTGTGTTGGCCAGGCTAGTGTCGAACTCCTGACCTCAAGCGATCTGCCCACCTCAACCTCCCAAAGTACTGGGATTACAGTCATGAGCCACCGCATCCAGCTAATCATACTGGGTGTTGTTGTTGTTGTTGTTGTTGTTGTTCTGTTTTGTTTTTTTGAGACAGAGTCTCGCTCTGTTGCCCAGGCTGGAGTGCAGTGACGCGATCTCAGCTCACTGCAACCTCCACCTCCCGAATTCAAGAGATTCTCCTGCGTCGGCCTCCTGAGTAGCTGGGTTTGCAGGTGCACACCACCATGCCTGGTTAATTTTTGTATTTTTAGTAGAGATGAGGTTTTGCTATATTGGCCAGTCTGGTCTCAAACTGACCTCAAGTGATCTGCCCACCTCGGCCTCCCGAAGTGCTGGGATTACAGGCATGAGCCACTGCGCCCGGCCGAATCATATTGTTTTTATACCCTCAAATAATTCCAATAGGGTGATTCGGCATGCTGAGGCCCTTTCAAAACTAAGATGCTCCTTACCCACATCTAGTTGATATGTTTACTTAAATGTTTGGTAAAATTTTCTGGGCAAAGTAGTAGACTCTGTAATAAACAATATGAATTTATATTCATCTTTAAAAAATATTTCCAGATATTCCCTAGGTAGAAACTTATTCTGAGAGAGGGTATAGTTGTCAATCTGCCAGTCTTAGAGTTGTTCTTTACCCCCAAGGGGACTGTTCATATTGTTACATAATTCCACTATCTCACCTTTGAGTGAAATTTACTCTCAGCCTAGGCCACCAAACCAGTGATCCTGCCTTGCCTCTTGACTAGGCTGTTCTAGATCACTCAGTGAGCTTACCAGGTCTGGATCTATCTAGCTCGTTCAGATGCTTCAGGGTGAGCCTCTGACAAAGGCTCTGTAGGCCAGGCCATGGTTCCTGGGCTGGTGTTCATGGACATGGCTCTGGTCCCTGAGTGACTGCCCCCAGGCAAGGTAGGCAGCTGCCTGTGGTTTGCTCTTCTCAACTTTGGCTTGCTGCTTCCAACAGGTTATAGATACTGGTGTATGCTGAAACTTTTTATTTTGACTATACCTTTTATTTTAACTAAGTTATTCTGTTGATTTTCTAACTAGCATTTCCCTGGTGATCCATGTCAGATGTGCTTTAAGAATTTTACATTAATGATTTTTGGCTGGGTGCAGTGGCTCATGCCTGTAACCCCAGCACTTTGGGAGGCCAAGGTGGGTGGATCACATGAGGCTAGAAGTTTGAGACCATCTTGGCCAACATGGCGAAACCCCATCTCTATTAGAGATACAAAAATTAGCCGGGCATGGTGGCACACATCTGTAATCCCAGCTGCTCAGGAGGCTGAGGCACAAGAATCCCTTTAACCCGGGAGGTGGAGGTTGCAGTGAGCCAAGATCATGCCACTGCACTCCAGCCTGGGTGACAGAGCAAGACTCTGTTTCAAAACAAAACAAAACAAAACACCTGGTAGCTCACGCCTGTAATCTCAGCACTTTGGGCGGCCAAGGCCGGTGGAATACGAGGTCAGGAGATCAAGGCCACCCTGGCTAACATGGTGAAACCCTGTCTCTATTAAAAATACAGAAAAATTAGCTGGGTGTGGTGGTGCGTGCCTATAATCCCAGCTACTCGGGAGACTGGGTTGGAAGAGTCGCTTGAACCTGGGAGGCGGAGGTTGCAGTGAGCTGAGATCACGCCATTGCACTCCAGCCCAGGAGACAGTGCGAGAAAAAAAAAGAAAGAAAAGAATGTTATATTATTTTTAGAGTCTTTTGTAAGAAGCTCCTTAAATTTTTTGGCCTGCCTAGTTTCTTCTATTTTTTTTCCTTTTTGTATATTAAAAATATAATCAAAAAAATTTTTACATTTAAAAAAAAGAGGGGCTGGGCGCAGTTGCTCACGCCTGTAATCCCAGCACTTTGGGAGGCTGAGGTGGGTGGATCAGTTGAGGTCAGGAGTTTGAGACCTGCCTGGCCAACATGGCAAAACCCCGTCTCTACTAAAAATACAAAAATTAGACGGGCGTGGTGATGCATGTCTGTAGTCCCCACTACTTGGGAGGCTGAGCAGGAGAGTTGCTGGAACCCGGGAAGTGGAGGTTGCAGTGAGCCGAGATCACGCCACTGCATTCCAGACTGGGTGACAGGGCAAGACTCCGTCTCAAAAAAAAAAAAAAAGAAAAAAAAAAGAAAGGCATGGGGTCTCACTATGTTGGTCTTGAACTCCTAGGCTCAAGCGGTCATCCCACCTTGTGGGAAAATAATAACCACCAAAGTGCTAAAAATAATGAAGTTATGTAAATAATACAATTTGAAACATAGTTTGAATAATTTTAAAATGAAGATAAACAAAAGAGAAAATAATTTCGTCTGTTGAGATACTTTTTTTTTTTTTTTTTTTTTTTGAGATGGAGTCTAGCTCTGTCTCCCAGGCTGGAGTGCGGTGGCACGATCTCAGCTCACTGCACGCTCCGCCTCCCGGGTTTACGCCATTCCCCTGCTTCAGCCTCCCGAGTAGCTGGGACTATAGGCGCCCACCACCACGCCCGGCTAATTTTTTTGTATTTTTAGTAGAGACGGGGTTTCACCGTGTTAGCCAGGAGTCTCCAACTCGTGACCTGGTGATCCGCCCGCCTCGGCCTCCCAAAGTGCTGGGATTACAGGCGTGAGCCACCGTGCCCGGCCTAGATACTTTTAACATTTGGAATATTCTTGTAATGTAACTCCATTCTGGAGTATTTTTTCTAGTCTGTCCATTTGTCTTTCTTCTTTTAATTGCCTGCTCATCACCCTCACTCATTTTTCTAATGGGTTGCTTATATTTTACTTATTGCTTTGTAAGGGCTTTTTGTTTTTGTTTTTGTTTTAAGGAGCGGAGAGTTTAATAGGCAAGAAGGAAGGGAGAAGACAGAAGGAAGACGCTCCCCCGTACGGAGACAGAGGGAGGGGGGGCTCCAAAGCCGAAAGAGGAGGTCCCTACCTGCCACGGATACCAGTCAGGTACACATGCAGAGGCTGGAGGAGGCGGTGTTTGATTTGCATAGGGCTCAGGGGATTGGTTTGACTAGGCATGTAATTCACGTAGCCCGAGAAAAAGCTGGCCCTCCCACCCTAGCTTTTTAATATGCAAATGCAGGTTGACACGACGTTCTACACTCGTGAGGTTATATGGGGTTGGCCATGTTGCCAGGAACATGTAGGGAAAGGGCAAGAAGGCCGTGGGAATCTCCATGTTTGGGTGGACCCAGTTTCTAATGGCCGACTTGCATATCAAAGGTTGCTGGCCTGGCTCTAAGAGCCGGGGCTTTACAAGAAACTTTTCCTGAGATGCTTTAAGGCTTCCCAATGACCCCTTTTCCTACAACATTTCCCCCTGTGGAGATGCTACACTAACTGCTGTTAGGGGGTTTTGGGCGATGACTCTTTCTGGCTACTTCCTGCTGAAAAGGGGCGTCAAATGGAGAACAGCAGCTAGGGCTCTTCCTGGGGTTGATCTAAGGGTCCTCGGAAGAATGGCGTGTGCATGTGTGGTTCAGTTTATAGCATCATTTGGAGTTTGATTGCAGTCTGATGATTGAATTTCTTTTCCTGGCCCATGAACCAAAATGATACGGCTCTGATGAGTGGAGGAACACCAGGGTTCTTGGTCCTCATGCCGGTTTAGAGAAAACAACAGGGACACACGTGGAGTGGTTTTAAGGAGTGGAGCATTTAATAGGCAAGAAGGAAGGGAGAAGACAGAAGGAAGAAACTCCCTTGTAGAGAGACAGAGGGAGGGGGGCTCCAAAGCCGAAAGAGGAGGTCCCTCTATAAGGGCTTTTTATGTTTTAATTAAGATATTAATGATAATAACTATATGTTGCAAATATTCCTTTTGATTTGTTGTTTGCCTTTTAACTTTGTGCTGGCAGGTTTTCGGTAAATAGAACTTTTTTATTGGTTGTCTTTTTCTTTACAGTTTCTTCTTTTGCTTTTATAACGGTACATTTTGATTAATTTCTATTTAAAAACAATGTGATGCTTTAGAGCAAGGTTCAAGTAAATATAAACATGTAGGTACATGGTAGAGTACCTTATTCACAGTTATTGATTGCTGCTGTTTTTGGTTTTTCTTACTGGGGCTAAATAGAAAACAGGATGTGATCTTTGGCTTTTAAAGGCTTTCAGCTTTGGCATTTAAAACATTTATTATTATTATTAATGTTTCTTATTCTTTTTAAAAATAGAGAGAGTCTTACTATGTTTCCCAGGCTACTCTCAAACTCCTGGGCTCAAGTGATCCTCCTCCCTTGGCCTCCCAAAGTGCTAAGATTACAGGTGTGAGCTACTGTGCCTGACCTAAAATCTCTATAAAAGTTTTTTTTTCTGCTGCTAATATTGAGCTCTCACACTATTTACTAGCTCTGATTTTCCAGCAAAAGATACTTACTTTACTTCTGACCATTCTCAGTCAATCCCTGAGATTTCTCTATGAGGAGAGCTTTACTTCTGATCTAATCTTTCTCTGCTTCAAGCCTCTGCAACTTCATATTAGATAATAGCAGGCTCCCAGCTAATCCTTAGACACACAATCAACTTCTCCTCCTCTTCTCCCACATGCTTTTTCCAGCTCCTTAATGAGAGCTGGAAAATCTATTCTGCCCTTTCCCCTCAATCTTTTTTTCCTAGACAGTTTTGTTTTTTTTTTTTTTTGAGTTGGAGTCTTGGTCTATTGCCCAGGCTGGAGTGCAGTGGCAAGATCTCGACTCACTGCAACCTCCTCCTCCTGGGTTCAAGTGATTCTCCTGCTTCAGCCTCCCAAGTAGATGGTACTACAGGCGTGTGCCACCACACCCAACTAATTTTTGTATTTTTAGTAGAGATGAGATTTCACTATGTTGGCCAGGCTGGTCTCAAACTCCTGACCTCAGGTGATCCACCTACCTCAGCCTCCCAAAGTGCTGGGATTACAGGAGTGAGCCACTGCGCTTGGCCTTTCCTAGACATTTAGAAGAAAGAAAGAACAAAAAAGAAATTAAAAAGAAGCTTATAAAGCAAATATCATGCAGGAGTTTCCTTATAGTTATGATCACCCTGCCTAGTAGGTCACTTGGTATTGAGTGCCCACTGTTTTCAGTGACATCCAGTATGTTCCCCTTGTTTATGGGTTCCAACACCTCCTGTTCCAAGAGACAAACATTCGTTCTGTTCAAAACTTTGTATCTCATTCCAGTGGGGTATTCTGCCAACCCATGTTTAGGTAATTGGTATTGTACTTTATTATTACCATAATTAGATATCTTCCCAATGGGAGGGAGTGAGTTTTCATTTTCTGTGAGAACTCATATGCAGGCAGATGTGTTTTGCTGGGAGTTGGGAGTGGGGCAAGAAACCAAACCTGGAAACCTGTTGATCCCACGGGGTGGTAAGAGATATACCTCTGCTATGCCACCTGCTGCCTTGTGGTTCTGAGTGGGTTTTGTTGTTGTTGTTGTTGTTGTTGTTATTTTTCCTTTAAAAATTATAAAAGCAATCTATCAGCCCCCTAAAAAAGTTTTGAAAAAATAACCCAACAGTAATTCCACTAGTCTGCGTAATCATTTTCATTTTTTAAAAAATCTTGGCTCAAATGCACGCGTAGTTTTACATTGTTATAGTCTGACAACATTTTTGTATTAGTCTTTTTAAACTTGACATTATAAATAATTTTCCTTGTTGCTATATAGATTTCATAATGAGAATTTTTATTATTTATTTATTTATTTATTTATTTTGAGATGGAGTTGCTCACTCTGTCGCCCAGGCTGGGGGCAGTGGTGCGATCTCTACTCATGGCAACCTCCACCTCCTGGGATCAAGTGATTCTCCTGCCTCAGCCTCCGGAGTAGCTGGGATTAAGGCGCCCACCACCACGCCTGGCTGATTTTTGTATTTTTAGTAGAGATGGGGTTTCATCATGTTGGCCAGGCTGGTCTTGAACTCCTGACCTCAAGCTATCCACTCACCTTGGCCTTCCAAAGTGCTGGGATTATAGGCAAGAGCCACTGCGACGGGCCCTTAATGAGAATTTTTAATGACTGCGTTATAGTCTATCAAGTATTTTTTTTTTTTTTTGGTCTTAGACATTTAAATTATTTTTGTGTGTATGTCTCCCTTTTGTGCTTTTTAAATAATGCTGTAACATATACTTTTGCATGTAGTTTTTGAGAATTTTTGTTCTTAGGATAAATTTCTGGAAGTGGGGTTCCTGGACCTAAAGTTTGCCACTTTTCTGGTTCTATGAAGCTACCATACTGCTTTCTGAAAGAATTGTGCCAATCTGCATCCAGAAAGGTTTTCAACATAAATGTGACGTAAGAAACACTTAAGCCAGTAAAGGCCCTGGAATGCTGAAGCAGATGCAGGACTTAAAGGGAGATGGTGAGGTTTTTCTTCTCCCTCCAGCAGGTTTGAGCCAGCCAGTTTCATGTTTCATCTGAAGTGTGAGTTTTATAAGAATTTCCTAATGGAAGGTCTCTCTAGGGCCTTGTGTTTCCTCTGTTGCAGTAGTTCTGTAGCTCTGCTTTCCCAGATCATGAAGGAGACAAGTATATTAATTTAAAATAGAATTATTATCCTATTCTTTGTATATTAGTCAAAATAGAATTTAGGCTTCCCCCAAACTGTCACTTGGCCAATTTGATAACTGTTGGTACTTTGCAAGTCACCCTGTTCCTCAGGTTTAATGGAGGAGCATTCACCAACTGATAACAGTTTTAGGGTGAAAAGGAATCAAGTGTGTCTGCTGAACAGAGAAAAAATACCTAGGGATGATATAATTTTCTAGAGTTTATTCATGAGACAACACAAATAGCAAATCATTTTGGATTTGATTGAATTTATGCAGAAAGAAACCCCAAAGTTATATAAAGTTAGTGAGTAATTACTAAGAGTAAATTAGCAGAAGTTATAGCCAGGTTTCATGTATTAATCAGTAGTTTTCTAAAGGCTGGAAGTGCTAAGTGGCTTTTTGCTAGTGCACATGATCGTGGAGGGATGATATTCCCTGAGAAGCTGAGGGAGTATGGTAGGAGTATACTCTCTGTGGCTTTGTAATAACCAGCCACCAATTTCCAGGTACTGAGGTTTAAGATCATCCAGGCAGGCTTGTTGCTACATTTCACTACTCTTTCCATCTCTGCCCCCACCTCTCCAGCATTTTAGAAACCTGTTGGGGTAAAACTGAGGTGTGTGGCTTCCTGTCATAGTATGTGGGGTTCTGCATGGGTGTGCTGGCTGTGTGTGCATTAGTTTGATGGGTGTGTAGTGAAGATGGTCCAGTGGGACCCTGGTGGTCACTGATTCTGTTTTCTGTTTCTGTTACAGCCCTTGCCAGCATCCAGCCATGGGGGATATGAAAACCCCAGATTTTGATGACCTTCTGGCTGCCTTTGACATCCCAGACCCCACCAGCCTTGATGCCAAGGAGGCCATCCAGACACCCAGTGAGGAGAATGAGAGTCCCCTCAAACCTCCAGGCATATGTATGGATGAAAGTGTGTCCTTGTCTCACTCAGGATCAGCCCCCGATGTGCCGGCCGTGAGTGTCATTGTCAAGAACACCAGCCGCCAGGAGTCATTTGAAGCGGAGAAAGACCACATTACTCCCAGTCTCCTACACAATGGATTCCGGGGCTCAGATCTGCCTCCAGATCCCCACAACTGTGGGAAATTTGATTCTACTTTTATGAATGGAGACAGTGCCAGGAGTTTCCCTGGCAAACTGGAGCCTCCCAAGTCAGAGCCATTACCCACCTTCAACCAGTTCAGTCCAATCTCCAGCCCAGAACCTGAGGATCCCATCAAAGATAACGGATTTGGGATAAAGCCCAAACACTCTGACAGTTATTTCCCACCCCCTCTTGGGTGCGGGGCTGTGGGAGGCCCAGTCCTGGAGGCTCTGGCTAAGTTTCCGGTTCCAGAGCTGCATATGTTTGATCATTTTTGTAAGAAAGAACCCAAGCCAGAACCCCTGCCCTTGGGGAGCCAGCAGGAACACGAGCAAAGTGGGCAGAACACAGTGGAACCTCACAAGGATCCGGATGCCACTCGATTCTTCGGGGAAGCTTTGGAGTTCAACAGCCATCCTAGCAACAGTATTGGAGAGTCCAAGGGGCTTGCCCGGGAGCTTGGTACCTGCTCATCAGTCCCCCCTAGGCAGCGTCTAAAGCCAGCTCATTCCAAGCTGTCCTCTTGTGTGGCAGCCTTGGTGGCCTTGCAGGCCAAAAGAGTGGCTAGTGTCACTAAGGAGGATCAGCCTGGCCACACAAAGGATCTCTCAGGGCCCACTAAAGAGAGTTCTAAAGGTAGCCCCAAAATGCCCAAGTCACCAAAGAGTCCCCGGAGCCCTCTGGAGGCCACTAGAAAAAGTATCAAGCCATCGGACAGCCCTCGTAGCATCTGCAGTGACAGCAGCAGCAAAGGCTCACCGTCTGTGGCTGCCAGCTCCCCACCAGCAATTCCCAAAGTGAGAATCAAAACCATTAAGACATCATCAGGGGAAATCAAACGGACTGTCACAAGGATCCTGCCAGATCCTGATGATCCAAGTAAGTCCCCTGTTGGGTCACCTCTAGGGAGCGCCATTGCAGAGGCCCCCAGCGAGATGCCAGGGGATGAGGTGCCTGTGGAAGAGCACTTTCCTGAGGCAGGCACAAATTCAGGGAGCCCCCAGGGGGCCAGGAAAGGGGACGAGAGCATGACAAAGGCCAGTGACTCGTCATCTCCCAGCTGCAGTTCTGGGCCCCGGGTCCCAAAGGGGGCTGCCCCAGGCTCACAGACAGGCAAGAAGCAACAGAGCACAGCACTGCAGGCATCCACCCTGGCCCCTGCCAACCTCCTGCCCAAAGCCGTGCACTTGGCCAACCTGAACCTCGTCCCCCACAGTGTTGCTGCATCAGTGACAGCCAAGTCTTCAGTGCAAAGACGGAGCCAGCCACAGCTTACACAAATGTCGGTGCCCCTGGTCCACCAGGTGAAAAAGGCTGCCCCACTGATTGTAGAGGTCTTCAACAAGGTCCTTCACAGCTCCAACCCCGTGCCCCTCTATGCGCCAAATCTCAGCCCGCCTGCGGACAGCAGGATCCACGTGCCGGCCAGTGGGTACTGCTGCCTGGAGTGTGGAGACGCATTTGCCTTAGAGAAGAGCCTGAGCCAGCACTATGGCCGGCGGAGCGTCCACATTGAGGTACTGTGCACACTGTGCTCCAAGACGCTGCTCTTCTTCAACAAGTGCAGCCTGCTCCGGCACGCCCGTGACCACAAGAGCAAGGGGCTCGTCATGCAGTGTTCCCAGCTGCTGGTGAAGCCTATCTCTGCGGACCAAATGTTCGTGTCGGCCCCTGTGAACTCCACGGCACCAGCAGCCCCAGCCCCTTCATCCTCTCCCAAACATGGCCTCACTTCGGGCAGTGCCAGTCCCCCTCCTCCAGCCTTGCCACTCTACCCAGACCCTGTGAGGCTCATCCGGTACTCAATCAAGTGTCTTGAATGTCACAAGCAGATGCGGGACTACATGGTCCTGGCTGCACATTTCCAGAGGACAACAGAGGAGACAGAGGGGCTGGTAAGCAGACCCTCACTGTTACGGGTATCGGGCCCCTGGCTCACACAGGTTCCATGACTGGGCATGGAGAGGAAAGCTCATTGATATGGGGGCAGTGGTGGAATCTTATGAGTCTTAGAAGAGGATGTCTGCCTGAATATTTAGTGTTTGGTGTTTGTTGGAAAAGGTGTCCTGCCCATACTGAGGTGAGACCCTAATTTAGCAAGTGTATTTACGGACGTGTCCCGTGTTCCACTCAACTTCCCCTCAAAGGGTCTGTCAAGGCCCAGTGTCAGGCCCGAGATAGGTCTTTACTGGATGATCTCCCTCTGGTCTCTGGCAGGTGTCAGCACAGTCTTAGCATGTGACCAAGGAACTTGGGGACAGAGATAGCTGAGTCACTGCCCCTGCACCTCAGTCTGTTCTAAGAACTTTGTCTTTTTTTTTTTTTTCTTGAGACGGAGTCTCACTCTGTCACCCAGGCTGGAGTGCACTGGTGGGATCTCAGTTCACTACAACCTCTGCCTCTGGGGTTCAAGTGATTCTTATGCCTCAGCCTCCCAAGTAGCTAGGACTCCAGGCATGTGCCACCACGCCTAGCTAATTTTTGTATTTTTAGTAGAGACAGGGTTTCACCATGTTGCCCAGGCTGTTCTTGAACTCCTGGCTTCAAGTGATCTGCCCACCTCAGCCTCCCAGAGTGCTGGGATTACAGGCGTGAGCCACTGTCCCCAGCCAAAGAACTGTGTCTTTAATAAGTTGTTGTTCTGCCCTGCAGTGACACAGCTGTTCTTGCAGAGTCCTTTTGTGGAAACTGCAGTAGGGCCAATGGCAGGGCTGGGATAGGAGGAAGGAGAGTGGACAGACATGTGGGGCCTGTGGCAGAGGTTTATGGAGCCTCCTTCTTTCAACTGCGTTCTCACCACTCCAGGAAAGCAACTGTGCTTGTCTGCTTGTTTTGATTCTTGGTTATGCTTGATGAGATTCATTTAAAAAAAAAAAAAAAGCCTTCTGCGCTGAGAATACCCTTTGGCACCTTCTGTGTCTATGTTATGTGTTAGTGGTTTCTCTGAAGAAAGAGGCCTCCAGAAGGTGGTTCTCTTCATGACATAGCCAGACCCACCCCTCATGGTGCTTCCCTAAGCTGGTGCTACAGAGGCCTGGGAGGAAAGTAAAACAGCTCTTTTTGCTTCAGTTCAGCCAGGGTTCTGTGCATGTGTTGGTAGCTGTTGAGCTTTGCATGTGTTCCCTGAGTGCCCACTGTGCATGGGCTGGGGGTCTATGCCAACCAGGGGATGCCGGCAGAAGGGAGTCTAACCTTCAGGAGCTTACAGTGGCCTAGCAAGGGCAGTGGTCACCACCCAAACAGCTACAGTATATGGCCAACTGAGAGTGGGGCTAAACCAAGGTTATAAACTTAGTTGCGCAGAGTGCCCCAGAGGGACTAATTCACGATGACTCCATGCGTAAGGAAGATGCTGTGTGGAGGTGAAATTTAAGTTGGGCTTGCAAGGATGAGTTTGGAGGAGTAGGAGGGGCAAGGGTGTTTTGAGTATAGGGAGCAAAGGAATATGAGAGTGCAGAGTGGGTTTGAAGAAGAGGACATTGTTATGCATGAGGCTGGTCTTGGAAATATTAGGGTAGAGGTCAGAGGTTGAGTTTGGCGGGCCTGTAGGGCTTCTGCAGAGGACTCAGCCCCCCAAAGGGGCCAGAAGGTGCTATAGGATCCCACTGTGGCCTCTCATCTCCTCCTGCTCTGTTTCAGTTTGCATTTTTCTTCTGATGCGTCAGATGGGGTGTGGGCACTCTGGGTCTCTTCCCCTGGGGCTTCAGTGTTCTTGCTGCCCCAGCATGGTTGAGTTGGGCCAGGTTTACTTTATCTGAGTCAAGGGGCCATGAGGAGGCCCCATGGCAGTGGAGGTCTGATGCCTGGGCCTGGGATTTTTTCACACTGGTCCTTACGTATCTTTTTTTTTTTTTTTTTTTTTTTTTGTGAGACGGAGTCTTGCTTTGTTGCCCAGGATGGAGTGCAGTGGTGCGATCTCGGCCCACTGCAGCCTCTGCCTCCTGGGTTCAAGTGATTCTCCTGCCTCAGCTTCCTGAGTAGCTGCGACTACAGGTGTGCGCCACCATGCCTGGCTAATTTTTGTATTTTTAGTAGAGATGGAGTTTTGCCATGTTTGCCCAGGCCGGTCTTGAACTTCGGACCTCAAGTGATCCACCTGCCTCGGCCTCCCAAAGTGCTGGGATTACAGGCATGAGCCATCACACCCGCCTCCTTGTGCATCTTCTAAAATTTGAGTAGGCAGAGGTCTGGGTGTAGGATCCCAGGCTGGCATGGCACCTTTCTCATCTTACATCCTCTCTGTGTCATTCTGCCCTAGTGGGAGCTGGAGAAGAGCACCCGCCGACAGGAAGGGAAGGAGTGCACAGAAGGCTATCAGGCCTCTCTCAGCCAGCTCCAAATCCCTCACAAAATCTCATGCCACTCATTGTGGCTTCTGAGTCTCAGGGAAAGGGTGAGCCCTGAGCTATGGGATTAAAAACTAGGCTTGATGGCTGCTGGGCTTGGGTTTTCCACAGGACAGTATCTAGCTTCAGCCCATGTGTCCAGGGCAGGGGGTGGACAGATAGTTGGGCTCCACACCACAGCAGGGACTGTGGGAACAGCATCGGTTTGGGATTTCCATCTTCTTCCTGGGAGTCTGCCCCTGAATGGAGCATGCCTCCCTCTGCAGTGACCCAGGGAGTTCTTTCATCCTTCCTCTTGCTTTCCAAGCCACGCTGTTGGGGCAGGATGTCAGCCAGATGGATATTGTCATTCCACCCAACACAATTAATAACAGTCCCTTAGTATTACCTACTACAAGTTCATATTCAGATTTTTCCAGTTATGTCAAAAAATGTCTTTTTACAGTTGGGATTATTTTGAGTCAGGATCTGAACATGGGGCTATACATCACGTTTGTTTATGTTTCATAAATATCTCAGTCTGGAACAGTACCTCTTCCCACTCCATCCTAGTAGGCACCCTCTTTTCATGCCATTGACTTGTTGAAGAAATTGGGTCATGTGTTCTGAGCATTTTCCAGAACAATTCTGGGTTTAACTGATTGCTTCCTAAGTTTTCCAGAACTTTGAGTTTTACTGATTACTTCCTCATGCAGGGAATTTTTTCCTCCATATCCCATATTTTTTCCTGTAGACTGGAAGTAAGCAATAAAAACTTGATTAGATTCAGGTCAGTTTTGATGGAGGGTGGGGGTGGAGGGTGCTGCGTTCTTCCTGTTTCATAACTTAAGGAGGCACAAAGTGCCTGATTGTCTTCACTTTTAATGATGCTGAATTAATGAGAGTGAATTTAGGTGATAATATTCTGATCCCTTCATTGTAAAGCTCCCCACCTTTTACCTAATTATCCATCAGTAATCACTGCTTGAGTCTAATTTTATTGAGTTTCAAAGGATATTTTTCTAATTCTATTGTTTCTTTCTCATTTATTAGCTAGAATTCTGTATAAAGTATATTTTTTGCTTCCGTGAGGGCTATTTGGTTACTCTGAAATATAGTTTACGTTGGAAAATGGGATAATTTGTTTCTTTTAATTAACAGTTCTCAGAGTTGTGAGTTGATACCCTGACAATCTCAATTGGTGTTCTAAGAGTCCCTCTTCTATTTTTTAAAAATTGTGGTAAAATACACGTAATGTAAAATTTCCCATCACAATCATTTTGATGTGTACAGTTCAGTAGTGTTAATGTTAAGTATATTCACACTGTTGTGAAACCAGTCTCCAGAACTCTTCATGTTGCAAAACTGAAACCCTGTACTCGTTTTAAAAAAGAAACAAACAAAAAACAATTCCCATTTATCTTCCTCCTCCCAAGCCCTGGCAACCACCCTTATGTTTTCTGTCTCTAGGAGTTTGACTATTCTAGGTATCTCATACAAGTGGAATCACACAGCATTTATCTTTTTGTGACTGGCTTTTCCATTTAGCATGTCCTCAAGATTCATTTATGTTGTAGCATATGTCAGAATCTCCTTCTTTTTTGGCCGGGCATGGTGGCTCACACCTGTAAGCCCAGCACTTTGGGTGGCTAAGGTGGGTGGATCATTTGAGGTCACGAGTTCGAGACCAGCCTGGCCATCATGGTGAAACCCTGTCTCTATTTAAAAAAAAAAAAACAAAAAAAACAAAACAGAAAACCAAAAAACAAAAATTAGCCAGGTGGTAGTGGTGCGTGCCTATAATCCCAGCTACTCAGGAGGCTGAGGCAGGAGAATTGCTTGAGCCTGGGAGGTGGAGGCTGCGGTGAGCCAAGATCATGCCACTGCGCTCTAGTCTGGGCATCAGAGACCCTGTCTCAAAAAAAAAAAAAAAGTCCCTTCTTTTTTTAAGGCTGAATAATATTCCATTGTGTGTACATACCACATTTTATTTATCCTTTCATCCATTGATGGATACTTGGGTTATTTCCACTTCTTAGCTATTGTGAATAATGTTGCTATGAACATAAGCATAAAAGTGTATCTCTTTGAGACCTTGCTTTTAAGTCTTTTTGGTACACACCCAGAAGTGGCATTGCTAGATCATATGGTACTTCTGTGTTTAATTTTCTGAGATACCACTGTACTATTTTCCACAGTAGATGCACCATTTTATATTCCCACCAACAGTGCCCAAGTGTTCCAGTTTCTCCATATCCTCACCAGCACTTATTTTCTGTTCTTTCAAATAGTAGCCATCCTAGTGGGTTTGAGGTGACCTCCTCTATTAGTTTAAATGTTGTCATGGCTCATTGATTTTTATATATTCAGTATATTTACATATTCAGTCATTCTTTTTAATGCTCATGTTATCCTATCTTTGGTCAGTGGCAAGCCCCTTCGAGCTGGCTTCTATATCCCTCTAGTCAGCTCCTCTGACCCCACATCAGTGGCCACCTCTGTGAGTAGGACAGGTGTCCCCTTTACTAAGAAGTTAAGAAGGGCCTCTCCAGCATGCAGGCACCAGCGAAGTCTTTTACTTTTTCCCTCTGGGCTGGCTGCTTGTCAGAGCTCTGCCCATCAGAGCGTAATTAGTCTGGTTGTAGTACTTGTACTTCCCCTGGTTTTCTCCTGGGGCTGGGAACAAAGGAGCTGCTACCTAATCTGCCCTTGTCTGTGGGTATGTTTGCTTAGCTGTGGCTCAGGGAACCCCCGCCACCCATCCCACCCCCCAACCCCCACCCCCGCAACTCTCCTAACCTGCAGAGTGGGCAAACAGGGCTAGAGCAATGGAAACTGACAAGACCACTCAGTCAGTCTTTATTGAGAGCCTTCTGAGTACCAATCAGGGTGGTCTCAGATCCACTTTGGAAGTCACTGATCCACCTGACTCGAGGTGCTGAGCAGGTCTCTACCAGGCCAATGTTGGGGGTAGATGGCAAGAACTGCCTCTACTGAGCTGTGACAGAGACCCTGGTGGGTCTAGCAGTGCAGTGAGGTCTTAGAATTCAAGATGTGCTTTAGGCCTCTGCAAAGGAAAAGCTGGTCCTCTGCTAAGCCACAGGAAAGAAACACAGTCCTGGGGCGGAACTGGTCTTTGAGAGAATAGGGTCAGGTCTGTCTCTGATTAATAGGGTGTCAGACAAAGCTTGCTTGGGTATCAGTATCAGCACTGGAAATGAGGTCTAGGGGTGTCAGAAGTGTCCAGGAGAGTTGGAAGAGAGAGTGGTTGGGGGAAGGGGTTATTCTGACCCATGTACTAGCAAACCAGACAGCCCTGATTGGAGAGCCACAGGCCTATGGCCCCTGCATGATCTGCTTTCTTGGTGTTCTTTCCTAGACCTGCCAGGTATGCCAAATGCTGCTGCCCAACCAGTGCAGTTTCTGTGCCCACCAGCGGATTCATGCACACAAGTCCCCCTACTGCTGCCCGGAGTGTGGGGTCCTCTGCCGCTCTGCCTACTTCCAGACCCATGTAAAGGAGAATTGCCTGCACTATGCCCGCAAGGTGGGCTACAGGTGGGTGCTGCCTGGCTTGCTGTCCTGGTATTGCCCAATGGCTGGTCCTTTTCCTAAGCCAGAACTCATTTCAGATAGTTTTGGTCTTAAGAGGCTTGGGTTCCAGTCTACACAGGACAAGAGCATTGGATGGTATGTGGACAGACATTTTTTATTTGGTAGCAGACAGGAAGAACAAGAGAGAGAAGAATAAGGAGTTTTAAAAACTTAAATATTAGAAAATTAGCTTTGAAGTTTTGGGGAGATTAGACATATAATACTTTGTCTATTTGGTTTTAAAACGTATGTAAGTTTAATTTGCTCACCAAGTTATGTTTGGCACATTAAATGTAAAGTGCTGTTTCAATAATGAATGTACTAATTACAGTACTTGGAAATGTTTGCAGGTTTTAACAAATGGGGCTGCAAGATGCCAAACTCAAAGGGCTTTAGTATCTTTCTTTTTGTTAATTTTTGTCAGTTTGTGGCAAAATGGGCAAAACCTGAGACTGGAAAAAAGGATCAGCCTCTTGGTAAAACCAAGAAAACTCTTATTTTCAATGGAATTTCCTCCTTTGTGTCAAACATAAGCAAGAAGTCATTTTCAGGGAAAAGATCAAAGTGAGGGAAAAAACTTCCCTCTAGAGCTCATTGATCTGTAAGTTGTTTTCTGCTCTTTGGCATTAAATTTTTTTTTTTGGTTTTAGTTCATTTGACTTTTTTGTGTGTACTTATTATTGTCTTCGGCATTGTGTTAGACACTCAGGATACAAAAATGATTAAGACACAGCCCTTGCCCTGGTAGGTTACAAACATAAGAACATAGGTAATTATAACCCAGAGTGCTAAGTCCCACAATAGAGAAATGGTCAGGAAAGCTTCCTAAAGGAGATATTAGGAGATTTTCAGACAAAAGAAGGGGAAACCATACCTGGCAAGGGCCTGACCAGGAATAACAGCATACACAAAAGAGGTGTCAGGAATGATGAGTATGGTTGTATAGAGGAATGTCAGGATGAATTGTGGGAGTGGGGAGAAATGAGACTAGGGAGTTGGCAGAGGTCAGACCATGCAAGACCTTGTATTTCTTGGCAGACATTTGGACTTTATCCAATGGACAGTGAGGAGCTACAGAAATATTTGCAGCAGGGGAGTGATTTGGCTAGTATATTTTAGAAAGATCATTCTGGGAAGCGAACACATATATTAGTGAGGAGAGAGACTGAAGACTTCTTGAAAGGCAAGTATGATGGTCCAGATGAGATGCTGAGGGCTTCACTGAAGGCATGATCGTGGGAATGGAGAGAAGGTAGATTTGACAGGGGTTTAGGAAGAAGCATCAAGATTTGACAATAGCTTTTATATGGAATGAGGGATGAGGAGTTTGGCAGAGGCGAGGCTAGGCCATGCAAGACCTTATATTTCTTGGCAGGCATTTGGACATTTTCCAGCGGACATTGAGGAGCTACAGAAGGATTTGCAGCAGGGCAGTAATCTGGCTAGTATGTTTTAGAAAGATCATTCTGGGAAGCTAACACGTATATTAAAGTTTTGCAATGACTCCCACATTTCTGTCTTGGGGTAAACATTTTATTTGTATATTTTTTTGAGACAGTGTCTCACTGTCACCCAGGCTGGAGGGCAGTGGTGTGATCGTGGCTCACTGCAGCCTTGACCTCCCGAGCTCAGGTGATCCTCCCATCTCGGCCTCCCAGGTAGCTGGGACTACAGGCATGCACTGCCATGCCTGGCTAACTTTTTGTGCTTTTTGTAGAGAGAGGGTTTCACCATGTTGCCCAGGCTGGTCACATAACTCCTGGGCTCAAGCGATCCTCCCACCTCAACTCCCCGAAGTGTTGGGATTACAGGCGTGAGCCACCGTGCCTGGCATTATAAACATTTAAAAATGTAGACTGATTTCTTTTTCATCTTATGGAGGATGGAGTATCTAAAGTACATTAAAAACAAGACAAACCTAAGACAGGATTATACAAAGCACTTACCACCAAGTTGCTGAGGAGCATTGCTTGGCAGCATCCCAGGCTATATTTTAAACCAAACATCTGAATATGTTTTTACAGTATCCTGTAACACTTAAAAATACCTTTCTAGCCTTGATTTAAGTGTATGCTGCTTGTTCTAAGATCAAATCCAATCCAATAGTAATACAATCAACACTTAAATATTTATCTTTGAATCTTGAATCCAAGAAAAAAAATTTTTTTTTTTTTAAAGATGGAGTCTCGCTGTGTCACCCAGGCTGGAGTGCAGTGGCAGCATCTTGGCTTACTGCAATCTCCACCTCTCGAGTTCAAGCAATTCTCCTGCCTCAGCTTCCTGAGTAGCTGGGATTATAGGCATGTGCCACCACGCTTGGCTAATTTTTGTATTTTTAGTAGAGATGGGGTTTCACCATGATGGCCAGGCTGGTCTCAAACTCCTGACCTCAGGTGATCCACCTGGCTTGGCCTCCCAAAGTGCTGGGACTACAGGCATGAGCCACTGCACCTGGCCCAAGAAATGTTTAATTGTACGGATGGATTAATACTTTTCATTTTTAATTACATATTTTCTTATGTACAAGTAAAAAGAAATGTCTCAAAAGCAGTTCAGTTTATCAAACCTTTTTGTAAGGAATGCCAGACCAAATGAATTGTGACTCAGCGAAAGGGATTACTGAAGATAGCGATATTAAAATTTTCAGTGATCTGCGGTTGAAGTCAGAAGACATACACAACACTACAGTGTTCATAACAGAGTTGTGCAATCACTACAAACAATTTTAGAGCATTTTTACTATCCAAGAAGAAACCTCATATCCACCACTTCTTTCTTCCCCCCTAGCCCTAGGCAATCGCTAATTTACTTTCTGTCTCATAGCTCTTCTGGACATGTCATATAAGTGGAATTATGTAATATTATTAGCATATTTGCAAGGTTCATCCATGTTGTAGCATATATCAGTATTTCATTCCTTATTATGGCTGAGATTCCATTGCGGGGATACACCATGTTTTGTTTATCCATTTGTCAGCTGATGGACCTTTGGGTTGGTTTCCCCTTTTGGCTTCATGAATAATGAATAATATGAATAATGCTGCTGAAGAACATTCATGTACAAGTTATCATGTGGACATGTTTTCAGTTGCTTTGGATACCTAGGAGTAGAATAGCTGGGTCAAATAGTAACTCTGTAGGGAGGGGAACATCACACACTGGGGCCTGTCAGCGGGTGGGGGGCTAGGGGAGGGATAGCATTAGGAGAAATACCTAATGTAGAAGACGGGTTGATGGGTGCAGCAAACCACCATGGCACGTGTATACCTATGTAACAAACCTGCACATTCTGCACATGTATCCCCAAACTTAAAATATAATTTTAAAAGAGGAAAAAAAGTAGTAACTCTGATTAACTTTTTGAGAAACTGTCAGACTATTTTCCAAAGTGACTGCAGCGTTTTTACATCCCCACCAGCAGTGTATCTAGGTTTTGATTTCTGTACACCCTTGCCAACACTTGTTATTGTCTTTTTGATTGTAACCATCCTTATGGGTGTGAAATGGTATCTTGTTTCCCTGATGGTTAACGGTGTTGATCATGTGCTTATTGGACTCCAACTTTTTTTTTTTTTTGAGACAGTCTTACTCTGTTGACCAGGCTGGAGTGCAGTGGCGCTATCTCAGCTCACTGCAACCTCCGCCACCCCGGGTTCAAGCACTTCTCCCACCTCAGCCTCCTGAATAGCTGGGATTACAGACGCCCACCACCATTCCTGGCTAATTTTTGTATTTTTAGTAGAGACGGGGTTTCACCATTTTGGTCAGGCTGGTCTTGAACTCCTGACCTCAGGTGATCCACCGACCTCAGCCTCCCAAAGTGCTGGGATTACAGACGTGAGCCACTGCTCCCGGCCTGGACTCCATCTTCTTTGGAGAAATGTCTGTTCAGATAATTTGCCCACTTCTGAATTGGGTTATTTGACATCTTATAATTGAGTTGTAAGAGTTTTTTATATCTTCTGAATACAAGTTACTTGTCAGATTTGCAAATATTTTCTCCCATTCTGTGGATGTTAATTTTTTTAGTAAATTCTCAAGATACCTATGTTCCATTTTATTGAACTCTACTACAGAGTTTTACAATATTATTTTATGTTTTGTATTATTTTTGCTTTTACTTGATAATGTAAAAAGCCTATATATGGTTATTTATATAATATATAAGTATATAAAATTTATATGTATTTTATGTAAAATATGCATACACATATATTTCAGAATTTCATAAATTATTCTGTTCTTTATTAATAATTTGGAGAATGGCTAATGATGTCATAAGGATGCAAGTTTAGACTGTTTTAATGTTATTTTCTTATTTGTGATTATTAAAGTTAAATATGTTGTTTATTATCTTTTCTAAAACTACATATTTCACAACATATGATTCCATAATTGTCTATCTCGTCTTAAAAAACTGTGGTCAAGTGCGGTGTCATATGGTTGGCACTCTTTTCTGCATACTTTCTCATCAACTTGTAAACACCATTGGATTCAGTCCTTCATTGAGGATACTTTGCATGTGTTCTTACTTTCAATGAGGTTTCTCAAAGAAATGTCTACCAGATACATAGAAGGAGTTTTCAGTAGCATTCGAAAAGAATGTATTTCTACTATTTCTGCAGGAGTTTGGTCAAATGGCACAAATAAAGCCACTTAAGAGATTCTTTACACATATCAGATGTACTTGGCCACTTTGGATGAATGTGGAATTATGTGCTTTTTTCTCCTCATAATACTTTGTAGTGTGGAAATACTTCTGTGTGCTAGAAGTTGGTTTCACTCTTCTGTTTAGCAGGAGAGAAAGGAAAATTAAGTAAGTAACTTGAATAGAAACCCTAATTTAAAGCATATACAAATGTAGTAATGAATGCTCTGTGGAGTTTATCACAAAAAGCTTTCTGGTTCCGTGGGCTGCTCTTCATTGCTAATTAAATTTTCGAAGGTGATTCTCTACCCCTCCCTTCCAATACACACAAGGAAGAAAAAAGATTGTTCAGGATTCTGTGGGGATTTATGTGGGCCGTGAAAATGTATCACGCCTGTAATCCCAGCAATTTGGGAGGCCGAGGTCAGTGGATCACCTGAGGTCAGGCGTTCAAGACCAGCGCGGCCAACATGGTGAAACCCCGTCTCTACTAAAAATACAAAAGTAAGCCGGGTGTGGTTGCAGGCACCTGTAATCCCAGCTACTTGGGAGGCTGAGACAGGAGAATCGCTTGAACCCAGGAGGTGGAGGTTGCAGTGAGCCAAGATTGCACCACTGCACTCCAATCTGGGTGACAAAGCAAGACTCTGTCTCAAAAAAAAAAAAAAAAAAATATATATATATATATATATATATATTTTATATATATATATATATATATATATATAAAAAAACGAAGGGTAACATTCAGGAGTCAAATAATTCTTAAATGAAGGCACGCCTTTTATTTTAGCAAAGCACCTGCCTCTCTTTAGTGCCTATGGGGATGTCAATAATATGAGGGCAGACAGTATTGCAACAAAAGGAAGATAAAAAGGAAGAGCAGAGAGGGAAAAGATGTTTTGTCATGTAGGGGAGACCTATGTGTGTTCTTGGGCAGGAGGAAAGACTGAACACAGGAGAGGGACTAGTAATCTTATGGATGCAGGTTGGCATGGAGGAAGGTCATATTATTCTCTGATATCGATAAAAGGAAAGGCAGTATTTATAGAGAGATGTTGTGAAGTTGAAACAAGTTCCATACGGCCTCAATTTCAGAAAAATGGTTTAAGACAATTGTTTATCTTATTTATGCATTGTAAAAAAAAAATCCACCAAATAAACTCAGAAAATACAAATTGGTAGGGAGAAAAAAAAATGAAAAGTTATCCCCATAGTTCCACCAGGAAGACATCACAGCACTTTTGAGCTGCATGGTCCAGTAGAGTATAGTATAGTACCAGCCATTTGTGGCTACCGGGTGCTTGAAATGTGGCCAGTGCAACTAAGGAACTGAATTTTTATTTTTATTTTTTTGTTATTTAAATAGCCACGTGGCCACATGAACAGTGGAGCTTCCCCCGCTCCCCCCCAAGAGACAGGTTCTCACTCTGTCACCCAGGCTGGAATGCGGTGGCACAAACTCGGCTTACTGCAACCTCTGCCTCCCGGGTTCAAGCAATTCTGCCTCAGCCACCTGAGTAGCTGGGATTACAGGCACGTGCCACCATGCCCACTAATTTTTGTATTTTTAGTAGAAACAGGGTTTTGCTATGTCGGCCATGTCTCATCTTGAATTCCTGGCCTCGTGTGATCCACCCTCCTTGGCCTCCCCAAGTGCTGGGATTACAGGCGTGACCTATCGTGCCCGCCCCAGTGGAACTATTGACCATTCCTTCATCACAGCAAGTTCCACTGGACAACACTATAGAGTATTTCTTCCTGGGCTTTAAGGGTTTTTTTAATGTAGTTGTTGTTTTGGTGACCATAGCATTGCCTGACTGTATGTTTTGTTAAGTGGTCATCCCTACTTACTCATACCAGCCTGTGGGAAGGCATGGGCTTTGTGCAGCCTCCTTCGGAAATTCTTGGACTTCTACAGTTGCCTCACACTTAAATACTGTTTATGCCATTATTGAACCATTTTCTTCCCTCTCCACTTCCACCAACTTCTCTTAGGTAGGCTCAGGTTTTTGGTTTGCAGAATATCCTCTGGCCAGTGCAGGGAAGGTTGGGGTTTCTCCCTTCTGTACAAGGCGTGGCCTTGGGCTTGGGGGCCACTGTGTGGCCACATTGTGCTAGACTGTAGCAAGCAGACCCTCAGGACGTACTTGTCAAGGGTGGAAGTCCAAGTGATTGAGGGAGGGAGAAGGTGCCTGGATAGTTCTGTTCCTCTTCTCCATCCCTCCTCTTGCAGCACCACCTCTGGGTCCAGTACTCCCTATACTCCACCCACACTCACACTACCCCACTTCTGTCTAGGTGCATCCACTGTGGTGTCGTCCACCTGACCTTGGCCTTGCTGAAAAGCCACATCCAGGAGCGACACTGCCAGGTTTTCCACAAATGTGCATTCTGCCCCATGGCCTTCAAGACTGCCAGCAGCACTGCAGACCACAGTGCCACCCAGCACCCCACCCAGCCCCACAGACCCTCCCAGTGAGTGCAGCTCCAGGGCCAGCAGGCCCTGTGGAGCAGAGAGGAGTAGCCTGGGTGCTGTAGGGGGTGGCATAGGGATGGGTGAGGGAGCTGGGGTTAGTGGCAGAGGTGCCTGGGGTCGTACTAAGGATGTCCTGAGGCAGGGGAGCATCCACATTGGCTCAGGGTAGTGCTTTCCCAAACTTGACCCTGGTTCAGAGAGAGCAGAGATGGGTGGAGGGGCTGCATGGTGCCTTGGCCACCTCACCCCCTAGGGCTTGTCTCATCAGGCTCATTTATAAGTGCTCCTGTGAAATGGTCTTCAACAAGAAGAGGCACATTCAGCAGCATTTTTACCAGAATGTCAGCAAGACGCAGGTGGGCGTCTTCAAGTGCCCTGAGTGCCCACTCTTGTTCGTGCAGAAGCCGGAGTTGATGCAACACGTCAAGGTGGGATGCCTTGCGGGAGGAGGCCGGGGAGGAGGGCACATGCCTCAGGCTGGGGGTCTGACTCTGTGCATCTTTCCCCTTGCCCAGTCAGTAATCGCTCTCCCCATCCCCAGAGCACCCACGGTGTTCCCCGAAATGTGGACGAGCTGTCAAGCCTCCAGTCTTCAGCGGACACATCCTCAAGCCGCCCTGGCTCTCGAGTTCCCACTGAGCCACCAGCCACTAGTGTGGCTGCTCGGAGCAGCTCCCTGCCTTCTGGCCGCTGGGGTAGGCCTGAAGCCCACCGCAGGGTGGAAGCCAGGCCGCGGCTGAGGAACACTGGCTGGACCTGCCAGGAGTGCCAGGAGTGGGTTCCAGATCGGGAGAGCTACGTGTCCCACATGAAAAAGAGCCACGGTCGGGTAAGTGCAGCCACACAGTCATAATGCAGAGCCCAGTCCTCTGGACTTCCTTCTGTGAAGCCAGAACCCCTAGGGTTCCTGGTGCTTAGGGCAGGGTGGGTACCACAGATCTTGAGGTCTTCGGGAGTATCCTCCTTTCTGCCCATGGCATCTGAGAAGAAAAATGCACCCAGAACTATCTTACAGTTCTGATGCTTTGTGTGTTGCCACCTCCTTCCTTAGACATTGAAGCGGTACCCATGCCGGCAGTGTGAACAGTCCTTCCACACCCCCAACAGCCTGCGCAAACACATCCGCAACAACCATGACACAGTAAAGAAGTTCTACACCTGCGGGTGAGTCCCTGGGGATAGTAGTGAGGAGGCCTGAGGTTCAAAAGACTCTGTCCGTGGCACCACTGGGGCTTTTCTGTGCTGCAAGATCAGGTGTCTAAGACAAGAGACAAGTGATTTCCAACTGGAAGAAATTGCGGCTAAGTCAGAAATCAGGGGCAGGTCAAAAATCAGCTTCCAGAACCTGGTAGCTCCTGAGCCCTCTCTCGTCACTCTCTAGCCCAGGACTGCACAGCCCATCAGTCACGAAGCATCCTGAGGTTTAAGAGGAGGGGTGGTGATGTGAGCATGCACCCCTGGGGCCGAGAGGCTTCTGCACCATCTGCCTGTGCCTTGGGGTGGCCCCAGGCCCTTTCACTGTGACTACTAGCCTAGCACTTGGGTCTCTGGGCGGTGACATCAGGTAGTGTTCAGTGAGATTGTGGCTGAGTGCCAGGTGTCAAGAGTGCAAGTATTCTGACGTGCTATTGTCTGCTACCTTGGCTGGCCTGCTGGCTGGATCTCTCTGGGGTTCCCAGCACTAGCCAGCCCAGGAGTCTGCTCCAGACTCCCTCCTTCCTGGCCTTGGTGTGAATAGCACTGAGGGAGCCTGCGGCCCGGGCACTTACCTGACCTCTCCGCTGTGCTTCTGCAGGTACTGCACAGAGGACAGCCCCAGCTTTCCTCGGCCCTCCCTTCTGGAGAGCCACATCAGCCTTATGCATGGCATCAGAAACCCTGATTTGAGCCAGACGTCCAAAGTGAAACCTCCGGGTGGACATTCCCCTCAGGTGAGTGTGGGCTCCCTGCCTATTGGAGCTGGCTGCTCAGTGAGGCTTGGAGCTGGAAGGGCATTAGGAAGGCTACTGTTGTGGCCATGGAACAACCAGAGTGACAGCTTCCCTCAATGTGGGTCACTCTCTAGTCCTGTGTGACCCGCCTGGCACTGGACACAAGTAGGGGATAAGGACAAAGACCCATAAGGTGGCCTGTCAGCCTTTTGTTACTGTTGCTTCCCTGTCACCACGGCCCCCTCTGTAGGGGTGTGCTGTGCTCTGTGGACATTGGTGCATTTTCACACATACCATTCTCTTTCTGCTTCACAGCAGTCCTGAGGCGGGAGCACACAGGACTACCTTGTCAGATGAGGATAATGATGTTTGGCCAACTCACCCCCCAACCTTCTCACTAGTTATAGGAAGAGCCAGGCCTAGAACCTTCTATCCTGGCCCCTTGCCCTATGACCTCATCCCTGTTCCATGCCCTATTCTGATTTCTGGTGAACTTTGGAGCAGCCTGGTTTTTCCTCCTCACTCCAGCCTCTCTCCATACCATGGTAGGGGGGTGCTGTTCCACAGAAGGGTCAGGTGTGTCTGGGAAGTCCTAAGAGCTGCCTGGAGTTTCAAGGCATTCTTAAAAACGTTCTTGCCTAATCAGATGGTGTCAGTAGTTGGCAAAGCACCTTTCATGCGTAGTAGCTGGGGGTATCGATTGATGTTTTTGGCAACACCTGTCCAATTGTAAAATGTACATCCTCCCTTCCCCCAAAATGCACATACCCTTTGATCCAGCAATTCTGCTTCTAGGATTTGTCTATTAGAGAGATCTTTTGCCTTGGGCATAAAGAAGTCTGCTAAAGGATGTTTGCTGCAGCACTGTGTGCAGTAACAAAGACGGAACTCAGCTAAATGTCTGCCGTTGGGGACTTCTCATCCCCACATTGGGTTAGTGTGCTGCCTTTAGAAGAATGAAGCCTCTGTATGTTCTCCCATGGAAACATGCTCCAATGTATGTTGTTAAGTAAAACAAAAACAAAAACAAGAAAAACACAGGGTGAAGAAAAGCATGCATATACTGGGTGCGGTGGCTCATGCCTGTAATCCCATCACTTTGGGAGGCCAAGGTGGAAGGATCACTTGAGCCTAGGAGTTTGAGACCAGCCTAGGCAACATTGGGAGACTCTGTCTCTACAATAAATAAGTAAATAAATTAGCTGGGTGTGGTGGTGTGCACCTATAGTTCCATCTATTCAGGAGGCTGAGGTGGGAGGATCGCTTAAGCTCTGAGGTAAGACTGCAGTGAGCTGTGATCACGCCACTGCACTCCAGCCTGGGTAACAAAATGAGACCCTGTCTCAAAAATGAAATGAAATAAAATAAAATAATTAGCTGGGTTTGGTGATGTTCACTTGTAGTCCCAGCTACTCATGAGGCTGAGGTGGGAGGATCGCTTAAGCCCGGTAGGTCAAGGATGCAGTGAGCTGTGATTGTGCCTCTGCACTCCAGCCTGGGCAACAGAGTAAGACCCTGCCTCAAAAAGAAAAAGAAAAGTATGCATGGCATGCCATATTTTGTAAAAGACAATAGTTTTGTTTTTGTATAGGCATAGGATACCTCTTGGAGGAGCCACAAACCCAGGTAATATGTTCTTTGGAGAGCAGGTCTGGGGAGTGGGGTAGTCTCTATACCCTTCCCGTGCCTTTGGAGTATTGTGACACATGCATATGTTACATTACAAAACAAAGAATTGAAACAAACCAAACGTAAACCAGCGTTCAGGGCTGGGGTGACCCTGGCCTGGGTGGTGCTTTCTTTGAGTCCTTGGGCTCATGGTTATGTCTAGGGGCTCATGTCCAGGGCTTGGCCTGGACTTTGCTCATGCTGTCTCTCCTTTTAGGTGAACCATCTGAAAAGACCAGTCAGTGGAGTGGGGGACGCTCCAGGCACCAGCAATGGCGCAACTGTCTCTTCCACCAAAAGGCACAAGTCCCTTTTTCAGTGCGCGAAATGTAGTTTTGCCACAGACTCGGGGCTCGAGTTTCAGAGCCACATACCTCAGCACCAGGTGGACAGCTCCACAGCCCAATGTCTCCTCTGTGGTTTGTGCTACACCTCTGCCAGCTCCCTCAGCCGCCACCTCTTCATTGTCCACAAGGTGAGAGACCAGGAGGAGGAGGAGGAAGAGGAGGCGGCGGCAGCGGAGATGGCAGTGGAGGTGGCAGAGCCAGAGGAGGGCTCCGGGGAGGAGGTGCCCATGGAGACTAGAGAGAATGGACTGGAAGAATGTGCCGGTGAGCCTTTGTCAGCTGACCCAGAGGCGAGGAGATTGCTGGGCCCGGCCCCTGAGGACGATGGTGGCCACAATGATCACAGTCAACCACAGGCCTCTCAGGACCAGGACAGCCACACACTGTCCCCTCAGGTGTGACCGGAGACTTTGCAGTGTGCATGGTCAGGGGTGGTGCCGAAGTGTCTTCCACCTGCCCTGCGGACCGTGGAAAATAAAAGGCTCTGCCCCCAGTGTGAGTGTGACCGGTTGTACCCTGGAGTAGTGTCTGCCCTGAGCTGCCAGTGCTGGGTATCCCCCAGCCCCAGGAAATGTGGGGTCGGCCAGGACCCTCACAGCTCTGAATTTGCTTCTGTTATTTATGGCTTTTCGCTGCTTCTTGGTGCCCCATCTCTTGTCTGTGTCCTTCCAACCCCAAGCTGCTTATGTGGCCCAACCCCACTGCTGTCAACTAGGCTTGAACCCCACAGCGGCTGTGCTCTTCTGGGAGGTTCCCGCTTGCTGCCTTCAGCCAGGGCGCTCCTCAGAGCTCTATTTTCCTGCAGACACCAGCTCTCCTTCCTGCCTTTAGATCCTGAGAAGGAGGGAAATGAGGGGTGCTGACACAGTCCCTCTGGGAGAGCTCTGCCTAGTCTGGTTTGGCGAGGGCCCTTGATCACCTTGCCCCTCCTCCCTGTCTTCTCTGATTCTTTTCCCTCAAAATAGTCCTGAGAACTAATTGTCACACTGGCTCATCATGTCTCTGTGGGTGGGGTGGGAGAAACCTCTGCTGCACACCTCTGTTTGGAACCTGGGCAGAGCAGGAGGTAAGGCAAAGGCAGGCAGGCACCAAGAACCAGACCCCTTGAGAAGGCGCTGTGGGTGGGTCTTTGTTCTGCTGTTCTGCCTTTCCTGACAGGTGGGGTTGGGGCACACAGACATTGGAATATTTGTACTGCTCTCGTGCCATTTGAGAGGCTGCTGCCCCAGGCAGGCCAGCCCCTACTCCTCTTGGCTACACTCATGTTGCTCAGACTATATTTCAAATAAAAAATCTTCTCACCATGCAGGTAGGCTCTTGTATTCCTCTCCAAGTGAGCCTGGCCCCACCCTATTCCACCCAAGGGTCTTTCCCAGACTTCCCCTGTTTGTCCCATCTCTGAGGGAGAACAATACTTCCTACTGTCTAAGGAAGGCCTTCTCTAGATTCTGGAGCTTGTGGTTAGGAAACCGGGAGCCCTGTACTACTTAGTTCTCTAGAGACCTTCTGAAGGGGTGAGGGGAGCGGCTCCACAATGGTCAAGTCACCTCCAAGATCTCCAGGCTAGTGACATTGGCTTTAGGGCGTATCGAAATTTTCTAGGCACCTTCATCTTTCCTTCAGTTGATTTTCAACATAAGAGAACCCCTTACTGGTAAAAAGGGAAAAGGGGGTGGAGAAGAGGAATTTTATAATTTTCTTATAGCATTCAAGAGGTTTCTTATTTCTTACAGCATCGCTACTGCCACAGAGAACTCAAATGTGGCAGAACTGGGATTAGACTTGGGAGACTGGCTGTCTTTTCACTGATGGTGGAGTCAGGGCCCACCCAAGCACGAGGAGCAGGCTGTGTGGAGGTGTCGTCTGACCTCTAACCCAGGTGGCATGGGGTTGCGCCCAGCAGGATGTAGTGGAGTAAAGGGAAGAGGGTGCTGGCCGGGTGCTTAGAGGTCATCTTTCAAGGAGGCATTAAATATCAATTATAAATTATTAAGTCAGATAAATATGCCTGACCTTTTCACAGTTGAAAAAATACATTTTTTCCCCTCTATCAAATGCCAAGTTTTTAGTGGAAATGCTAATGGCAGTGGGAAAGGTTGCCTCACTTTCAGAGAGACTCTCGCTGTCTGCACCCTTTTAATAATTGCTCTTCCTGGCAAGGCTGCCACTTCCCTGCCTCCCCAGCTGGCAGTGGGGCAACCCAGGCCTGTTTCCAGCTACCTGCAAAGCCAGACCTAGACCTGCCGTAGCTGTTGTCCCATGCCTAATTCTAGTTACAGGAAGCCATCCCTGTACCCTGGGTCCATTCACAGGAATGGGTTCCAGAGGAGGCTGATAGAAGGGTTTGAAATGACTGGCTGGATCCCTTCCTGCTCAGACACAGTGGTAGCTGGAGAGCAGGCAGAGATGGTAGAATTGCAGGTTTGACCACCTGTCGTGACCCCAGATATACATCTCCTTCCTGGGAAGAACGTGAGTTGGAAAAATGCTGAGCCAGTCCCTGGAAAACCTGGGTCCTGGCCTGGATTCTGTCCTTAGCCAGCTCTTAACAAATCCCTTAACCTCACTGTCTCCTCTCCTTCACAATAGAGTTAGTAATTCCCATCCAACTGGCTTCACAGGCTTTTGTGAGCTTATGAATGTGAAAGTATTTTCTAGTTTATAAAACACTATATGAATGTGGGGAAATCTTTACTTGACCTTAGGGCATGGAGGGTGGAGCACATTTTGTCTGCTGTTTGGACTTGGATGCTGATTAGCAGTTATGAAGTGGCCCAGACACCTAGCCATTCTTTAGTAAGAGTGAAGATAGCATTTTAAGCCCTCCTTGTGTGCCTAGCATCTTACTGAACACTTTCTGGTGATTCTCTCCTTTAATCCTCACAAAGATCTCACAGTTGTCCTCCATTTTACGGAGAAGAAACCGAGGCTCCGAGAGGTTAAACGATGTGCAGAGGCTACCTGTAGTGATGGTGCTGAGTCAAGCCTGTCAACCACTGTGCTCGTTAGTGACCAAGGCTGCTTTGACAGGCTGCCAGCTTGTCAGTGGTTTGCAGCCCCCCAGACATTTGCTTTCCTACTTCCCATGCAGTTGGGGTGCCCTGCCAAGTGCCAGGTTCTCTTTGGAGTCCATCTGTGCCTTGTCACCCCAAGGAGGGCCTCGAGCATCACACCGTTGACATTTCGAAACGTGGTATCTCTACAACCTTTCATTCTCATTGGGATTTACCTTGCCATTTGAACACCATCATTTTTTGAGGACTGTCTAGAAAAGGTTGCCTAACCCTCACAGGGAACACACAGTTCCCTCAGAGTCCAGCATCTTCTGGTCTTTTCTTTTTCAAGATTTTTTTAAATGGTTGTGCTATCATTTGTCATCATCAGAAAATGCTTGCTGTAACAAGCGTTTATCTGCACATTATGCTGCAGTGAATGCTCTACTGATCAAGTTAAACAGATAAGATCCCTTCCCTTGTAGAAACTACAACTTAATACAGTCTAAGACTTGACAAATTACTTAGTATTTATTTTCCAACTGCTTTATCTCTGTAAAATGATATGCTGAATTATTATAAGCTAATTGTTGTAGAAAGAACTTTCCCCTTAACTTATGTAAACAGTCTGGTTTTAAAAAATTTGATAATTGTGGCCCAGTAAGCTCAACACTTTGCCTTCCCCAAGACTGGGGAACCTCTGTCCTGTTCACCACTGTATATTCAGCACCAGGCAGTTTCTTTTTTTGTTTGTTTGTTTTTTTGTTTTGAAAAATTAATACATATACATGGTAAGACATTCCACAATACAAAAGGGTATACAATAAATGGTAAGCTTCCCCATGGAGGTCAGCCTCTAGTCCCCTCTCCAGAGTTAATCACTGTTATCTATATGTTGTGTATCCTTTCATAGCAATTCTATGCATTTACAAGTTTATAAATATGTATATTTATATATCTATTTTTAATACAAATAGTAGAATTCTATACACAGTGTTCTGAAGCTTGCTTTCTTATATAGTATTTTGGAGATTATTCCAAATTCATACATTGGGTCAGAGTAATTCTTTAAAAGTTCCTTGCATATAACAGTGATTCAAAAAGTATATGGATGAATGAGTGAATGCTGCATGAATGAATGAATCTGATTCAATTGGTAGCTACAGCTGTTCTCTCAGGGTCTGATCTGACCAAGACAGCACCTTCTAGATTCTAGAATGTGTCCTCCTGACTAAGGGGTTCAGGATACTGTTCACCTTCTCCAACAGATGCCACCGGAGCCTTAGGAACTGGGCACAGGAAGCCTTGGGCCCCTGGAGGAAAAAGTTGAGACTAGGACGCAGGTCCCAAGTATGGGATTTTTTTGGGTTCCTACTTAAAATGCTTTTTTCTTTATTGGAAAATGATGTAACATTTTAGAGAAATTAAAAAGCACACATATTTATAATCTCTTCCTCTTACCATTGTAGTTGTTTTCATTTTTGCCTATCACTTTCCAATCCTTGTTCAGCACATTTGTAATTGAATTTATGGTATAATTATGATAGCAGCAGTGGTTAACATTGAACATTTCTATATGGCAGACATTATTCTCACATTCATTTTTATTTAGCTTCACAACAATCCTGTAAGATACATACTACTACTATTCTTTTGGAGACAATAAAATTGAGGTTCAGAGTAGTTGAATGACTTCCTTAAGGCCATGGAGCTAATAAGGGGCAGAGCTGGAATTCACACTCAGGGGTGACTGACACTATACTGTCTCTGATTTTGTACTCTACTTTTCTCCACTTAACGCAGAAAATGTCCAGTACATGTTTCTACATAGCCTTTAAATCATCATTTTCTTTTCTTTTTTTTTTTTTGAGACGGAGTCTGTCTCTGTCGCCCAGGCTGGAGTGCAGTGGCGTGATCTCGGCTCACTGCAAGCTCCACGTCCCAGGTTCACGCCATTCTCCTGCCTCAACCTCCTGAGTAGCTGGGACTACAGGCGCCTGCCACCATGCCCAGCTAATTTTCTTTCTTTTTTTTTTTTTGTATTTTTAGTAGAGACGGGGTTTCACCGTGTTAGCCAGGATGGTCTCGATCTCCTGACCTTGTGATCTGCCCGCCTGGGCCTCACAAAATGCTGGGATTACAGGCGTGAGCCACCATGCCCAGCCTAAATCATCATTTTCCATAATTGTAATCACGTTCATCATGCCAAATCAATACAATTGACCATTTCCTGTTTAACATGTAAATTCCCTACTTCATCAGTGCAATGAAGAGTCCTGAGCATATAGCTTCTTGCTTCTGCAGAATTATTTCCTTGGGAGTTTAGCCCTATTTTTTTCTTGAGTAAACTGGCGAGTGATAGAATGGAGAAGTTCATTGTCATAATAGTAATCAGACGCCCTAGGGTGCAGTCTCATTTCTGTAAGTGACAGTCATTTGGTCTTTCCTGGCCTTAGTTCTCTTATCTATCAAATGAAGGGGTTGGTTTATATATCTCTGGGGACCTTGATTTTTATCTTCTCAGTCTGTATACGTTCATGTCAAAATAGACCTTCCCAAAGGCAAGAACTTGTATTTCCTCTTTTGCTTATTTTTTTATTTGTTTACTTTTGACCTAGATGCATACAAAAATGGAAAAGATCCCTCTTACTCAGCCCTTCCAAGGCAATATCACTTTTATTTGCATTTATTTGTTTTTCAGTTTGCATTAGATTTATGCTTTCTCAGATAGAGTTCTAGCTCTTTATGAGTACCTATTTTTTTTAAAAAAAGTCTCATTGTTAATCATCCTAAGTTTTGCAGCTTTTTAAATTTTATTACTTTTTTTTTTTTTTAGAGACAGGGTCTGGCCCTGTCACCCAGGTTGGAGTGCAATGGCACAATCATAGCTCATTGCAACCTCAAACTCCTGGGCTCAAGTGATCCTCCCACCTCAGCCTCCCAAGTAGCTGGGACTACAGGTGTGTGCCATCATGCCTGGCTAATTTTGTTATTATCTTTTTAGAGATGGGGTCTGGCTGTATTGTCCAGGCTGGTCTTGAACTCCTGGGTTCAAGGGATCCTCCTGCCTCAGCCTCCCAAAATGCTGGGATTACACGTGTGAGCCACGGTACCTCGCAATTTTTTTTTTGGCTTTTGTCAAGCCTTTTGAAGTTTGAACTTTGTCTACTTCATAACTTCCAAGCATCTTCAAATCCTTCTGTCACCAGGCATTTTTCATTAGGGTTCTAGGTCCAGGTGAATTCTTGAGTTGGTTCGTTGTGTCATGTATTGGCCTTTAATAATGCTCTTATTTTGGCCCACGCCTGTAATCCCAGCACTTTGGGAGGCTGAGGCGGGCAGATGATGTGGTTAGGAGTTTGAGACCAGCCTGGCCAATATGGTGAAACCCTGTCTCTACTAAAAATACAAAAATTAGCCCGGCGTGGTGGCAGGTGCCTGAAGTCCCGGCTACTCAGGAGGCTGAGGCAGGAGAATTGCTTGAACCTGGGAGGTGGAGGCTGCAGTGAGCTGAGAACACACCATCATACTCCACGCTGGGCGACAGAGCGAGACTCCGTCTCAAAAAAAAAAAAAGCTCTTATTTTATATATATATCTATATATACCCATTTACAGATTTAAATTGAGTTTTCAGTGCATGAATACTAAAATCAACAAATATTTAATTGACCATAAGGAAAAGGGGTGCAGAAGGATGTGATAAAGACATGTAAATCCATTCTAACTAGGAGAAGCTTCCATCACAATGAGTCCCCAAGTGACAGTGGATCTGCAGCACCAGGGTGTTTCATGAAAGGACGTGGGATCATACATAGAGTGTTCGTCCAGATCTGCTAAATCGCTTCGCTTCTTGGCCTTTTGGCTGAGATCAAGTACAGACCTACCAGATCTTCTCAGACTTAATCCTGTAAGCTTTGCCTCTATTCTATATGAAAATGGGGATGGTAGATGATGCATTTGATATTTGGAGAGAGTGATTAAGCTCCTCTTCAATCTGGCATTCATTAAACTTGGAACCCCACTGATTCTAGGTCTCCCCTTTCAATTATAGCACAGGGCACACACATAATCCCTCCTTTTCTGTGGGGTTTTTTAGTCTGTAGAACAATTTGCTTAGAATTTTCCCCTAAGATCCATTGTGCATAACAGAGCTGAATATTCTTGGTATCTGAACAAGAAAGTAGGTGCTGCTTTCTAAGAAGCTCTTTGCCTATGGAGGAGGGGTTTTGATATGATTTAAAAGTGGGGAAAAGGAGAAGATGGAAAGTGGGGGTTGTCAGGGGAGGTGATGGTGGGAAAAGGGATAGAAATTTGTGGAGGGGCAGGCAGAAGAATTTGAACAGATGGAGAGTTTAGAACCTGGAAACTGCATTTTTTAAGACAGTGATAGAAATGGTGCTGGTGAGCTCAAAAGGGAGGTAGTGGCTTGATTCGTCAACGGCAGCACTTGGGTGAGCAGTAACTGTGGCAGCAGTTGCTGGGAGGAATTAATTTTTTTTTTTGAGACAGAGTCTCACTCTGTCACCCAGGTTGGAGTGAAGTGGTGCTATCTTTGGCTCACTGCAACGTTTGTCCCCCAGGTTCAAGCGATTCTCTTGCCTCAGCCTCCCCAGTAGCTGGGATTACAGGCACCCACCACCACGCCTGGCTAATTTTCATATTTTTAGTAGAGACGGGGTTTTGCCATGTTGGCCAGGCTGGTCTCGAACTCCTGACGTCAGGTGATCCACCCGCCTCAGGCTCCCAAAGTGCTAGGATTACAGGCATGAGCCACCACGCCCAGCCGGTATTAAAAGTTTTTTAAAGAATGAGAAGATATAGCTGTTGAGGAAAAGGAGAGCTGAGATTCAAAGACTTTCTTAGAAAAAGACAAAGACTTGAAAGGGAGGAAAAAGACTAGTTTACCTTGCAAGAAGACCAGGAGAAGCCTGGGCTGGGAAGAGCCTTTTCTAGGTTCAGTTGAAGATAGGGAGTTTATATACTGGGCCCAACTGACTAATTGCTGGCCCCTGACCACACACTTATCCTCTTATCTAATGATTGCTTTATTTTGGGACATGCCTAGATTTGTGGCAGTCCTGGATGGAATCAGAGCAGGTGGATTGGGGAAGACACGTGGCTGTGGCAGCTCTATCATTGAGTCCCAAATTCCCTTTCCAATCAAATGAGAATCAGGACTGACTTCTCATTGCCAGTAATCCTTTAATTGGTGTCCATTTACCCAAGCACAGCTGTGGCCACACAGCTATCCAGTCCCTGGATAGAAGCATGCCAGAGTGGCCAGCTCATCCCAGAGCGGTAGGACCTGGAGTGTCCACCCTCTTGGAATAGAGGCTCAGCTGCCTGAGCTGGGAGCTGTGGCAGCTCTTGGAGGGAGGTCAGACAAGCAGCAAAGAGCCCTGCAGACCAGCTGGCAGGAAGGGCAGCTTGTAGCACAAGGCAGTAAGTTCCCACGGGAGGGCAGGATCAGCAGAAAGAACTGGGCTTTGTTGAACTCAGAGCTGAGACTTTAGAATGAGTGGAATCAAGCGAAGGAAAAATAGAGGAAACTGGAGGGATTGGATAGGTATTTGATTAATTTACCATGCTATTAATGACTCGCATTGAGATGTGGTTTGAGGAGCGTTGAGGACTGGAGTGGAAGCCAATGATGCTTCATAAGGAAGTTTTCAATGACCCCTGACCTCAGACCTGTGCCACAGCTTGTGGAGAAGGCCACCTCAGCATGAGTCCACATGGGTGCCAAAGAAGCAAAATAAGACCTGGAAAGTCTTCTGACCAGAATGAAGTTGATGATCATTATAATGTACTTTGCTCTAAAAAGCTCGTGTGAACTATGACCATTCATGGCACAGGAGTTTGAGGTGAACATTGGCAAAGTAGATGCATCCAGAGAGGAACATCTTGCATGGCCTGAGGCTCTCAGTGCCATTTTGTTCAAGGAGCTGTTGAAGGAATTTGATGTTTCATCAAGAAAAGAGGTATTTCATGACCAGTATTTTCACGTCTTTGCGGAGCTATCATATCAAAAAGGAGTCTAGACATCTGTGTGGCTCCAGAGCAAAATTTGACTCAGAATAAAAGGAAAATCTGCCTGAAAATGAAATGGGCTGCTTGGAGGAGTAGCACATTCTCACGCCCTGGAGATGTGCAGGCACAGGCTAGGGCCCCTCCACCAGGGTTGTCTAGACAGTGCTGAGGCCCTGCAGTGGCAGGGAGAGGCTAGAGGTGTAGGGATTACTTAATGATGGCCCTTCCTGCCAACCGTGATCAGTCCCTGCTCCCCGCCCCCCGTTTCCTCTCCTCCACACAGATGGGACCACATGTGTCTCCCCTTAGTCTCTCTCTGTCCCAAGCCTGAGGACCAGCTGTGGTCCCCAGGAGCTCCACGTTAACCCTCAGGGACTGGCATCTGGCCACTGTCATTGGGTGGGCCTGGCTCTGACCTTATGTTTCAGCTCTACTCATTGGGTTGCTTCTACCTTGTTCAGGAGGCCAATGTTTGCAACTTCATAACCCAATTCTGTTAACCCATTATTGCTTGATATTGTGACTGGCTCCCCTTGGGCTCTTTTGAGAAGTTTGGTAGTGAACTGAAAGATGGGGTTGGCAGGGTATGGTGGCTTATACCTGTAATCCCAGCACTTTGGGAGGCTGAGGCAGTGTGATCGCTTGAGCCCAGGAGTTTGAGACCAGATTGAGCAATATCGAGAGACACTGTCTTTTCAAAAAATTAAAAATATATATATTAACTGGGTGTTGTGGTGTGTGCCTGTAGTCCTAGCCCTTTGAGAGGCTGAGGCAGGAGGATCACTTGAGCCCAGGAGGTCAAAGCTGCAGTGAGCTATGATCACACCACTGCACTCCAGTCTGGGTGACAGAGTGACCCTGTCTCAAAAAAAAAAAAAAATGGGTAAATACTTTAGAAGCAAACATTTGATTGTCCTCATAGGCTGTGGGGAAGGAGGGAAGGAGGCCAGGCAGGGGAAGCAGAGAGCTGTTACAGTAGGGCTGCTGAGAAGGCCAGAAGTTTGAGAGCCTTGGAAGGGAAGCAAATATAGGAAGCAGAGGTTAGTGTGACACAGGGATGATATAGACAGCCTGTCCTCCTTTAAAGTTGATGTTCTTGCCCAATGGTCTCACTTTCCCCTGTATTTTGAAGGAACAGTTGACCATCACAAGTGAGGAAGGCAAAGGGGAGATTGTAATCTTATTTGGAACAGTTGCTGTAGGGAAAGGAAAAGGTCAGTTTGGGAGAATGTAAAAGGATTGCCACGCTGCCTGAGATTGGACTTAGGCTGGAAACCAGAAATGTTGGCCAACCCTGGAGCAAGAAGAAGCCCACAACCTAATCCCAGGTTAGGAACCTGCTGGGTAAATTTAGTAGAAGGTGAAGGGCAAGTGCAATGAGTTCCCTAAGGAAGGTGTAGTTGACGTTATTGTCCACTTTGCACTGTGTTCTTGTGTGTATGGGGATGAGGTGGGGGTGGATAAGAGAAGTCACCCAGGAAGGAGCTCAAGATCATAGAGGCTACAGGGGAGCTGACATTTTAGAGGTAGAGAAATTTCTGCCGGGCGCGGTGGCTCGTGCCTGTAATACCAGCACTTTGGGAGGCGCAGGCGGGTGGATCATGAGGTCAGGAGATCGAGACCATCCTGGCTAACAAGGTGAAACCCCGTCTCTACTAAAAAATACAAAAAAATTAGCCGGGCGTGGTGGTGGGCACCTGTAATCCCAGCTACTGAGGAGGCTGAGGCAGGAGAATGACGAGAACCCGGGAGGCGGAGCTTGCAGCGAGTCGAGATTGCGCCACTGCACTCCAGCCTGGGCGACAGAACAAGACTCCGTCTCAAAAAAAAAAAAAAAAAAAAATCGAGAAATTTCTGGTGACAAGGTTCAAGTGGTGGGCATTTGATTGAGATGTGAAAGGTAAGTGAGGGTGAAGTTCTTTGTGAAGACAAGGTCACTGGACCTCTGCCAGGGTGTTGGCTGTCATCAGAGAGGCTAGGATGATGGTAACGGACCACAGCCTGCCATGGTTGCACTCAATGTGAGGTGACTGTTGTTTTTCATCAGTTCAGGTGAATGGTCATGAGGAATGTGATGGCTAATAATATTGGGGTTAAGGATTGGGTAATGCATGCCATGGGCAATGCTTCAAAGGAGGATGGATTGTCCCCTTTGAGTTTTGTTAGCATTGGAAGAGAGGGGGCTGGGTAGGAAGGGGAAGGGATGGAACTAAATTAAAATAAAAGGCATGTTCAAACTCATTCAGACCTTGTTCAGAGGGACTGATGTAGTAGGATCTAAGCGTCCTGGGAGATTCCGCCATTCTCTAACAGGGAGCAGCTTCCTTTATTGCACTGAATATGTTCACTAACACAAAAACAGGCCCAAGATTTTCCTACTATAGGTACCCAGTTTATTCTGGGGCCCCAGGAAGTTCAAAATAACTGGAAGATGGGATCCTGGCACCAATAACAAATTCCTACAGTGCTTCCTCAGTACATGGCAAACACTGACTGCCTTGTACTGTGTTGCTTACTTTGTTTGTTTGAGACAGGTTCTCTCTCTGTTACCCAGACTGGGGTTCAGTGGTGCAATCACAGCTTACTGCAGCCTCCAACTCCTAGGCTCACGTGGTCCTCCCACCTCAGCCTCCTGAGTAGCTAGGACTACAGATGTATGGCCAGCTAATTTTTTAATTTTTTTGTAGAGATGGGATCTCACTTTCTTGCCCAGGCTGGTCTCAAACTCCCAGACTCAAGCAATCCTCATGCCTTGGCCTCCCAAAGTGCTGGGATTACAGATGTGAGCCACTGTGCCTGGCCTGTATTATTTCCTAATGCAGAACCAAGGCATGCACTCTTCTGTGCTCTTTTAGCACCATGTACAAACCTCTATCACAGGATTTGTAATGATTCTGTTTTAATTGTTCTCTCTTCAGGCTTGAGAGGTTCTTGAGGACAGAGACTATAACTTATTCATTTCTGTACCCTCAGCACCTGGCATAATGCCTCACATGTAATAGTTAATACTTGCTGAATGAATGGCTATGACCTTCAGGATCATAAATGGAATGCCCCACTCCATTTTACAAAGGAGAAAGCTAAAGCTCAGGGATGGCAAGCCACTCGGCCAAGGTCACACAGCTGCTCAGTGGAAGAGTAGGATTAGTCTCTGGACTCCTAGCCTAGTCCTTGTTAGACAACACCACTTTCCATGTCCTCTTTCTCTTGTTAGACTGTAAACTTGGAAAGGAAAGGCATTATTGACTTCTCCATCCCTGAGTTCCTTGACATTCCTTACTCAGCTTGACCCCTATCTTGAACTTGGTTGAAGACAGAGAAAGTGTTCTTGTTAAATTTGCAGATAGCAGGAAGCTGGGTTCCAAATCTTGGCCAGATGTGGTGGCTCATGCCTGTAATCCCATCACTTTGGGAGGCTGAGGCAGGAGGATCGCTTGAGCCCAGGAGTTCAAGACCAGCCTGGGCAATATAGTGAGACCCTGTCTCATAAAAAAAAAAAATGGGAAGGATAGATTCTCCTATAGGTTAGCACTGGATGATGGGCAGAATTAAAAAAGATACAGACAAGAAGGAAAGGAAGTATAAGAGTAGGAAGATGAGATTTAACTTAAAAAAAAACCCCAAAAACAGGTAAGATTGTATACTTAGGATAAAAGAGACTTTAGGAGTGGGGAAGACTTTGATGAACAGTGGTTTTTGTTGAAAACTCACAGGCTCAATGAAAAATTGAGTCAGTGAAATAATTTGGCTGTCTGTCAGGGAAGTTGTTAATGTCTGGAGCCCAGACCCACCCTTAATATAGGTGCGAATTTAGTTGTAGGTTGCTATGGTCTAACCTCTGCAGGGGCCACATTTTCCAGAGGAAATTGGTAATTTGGAATGGGTAACTAGTGGCACCATATCCATTGTCGTATGAGAAATGGCCTGGAAGGGAAGTCCAGAGTCCCCATTGTGCTAGGCAAGGTCTCAAGGCTCTAGCCCCTGCCTCGTCATCCTCTCTCTACTTTCCTGTCGACTTCATACTCAAGTGACGTGCATACCGGGCTGTGTCAGTCCTCCATATCTTTATACGTACTGTTCCCTCTATCTGGAATATTCGGTTCCTCCTGCTCCCCACCCATAACAGTCTACTTGGCGAGGACCTACGTAATTTACAAAATCCTTCTCAAGTTTTACTTCCTTCCTTGTAAAACTGTCCTAATACAGGCAGAACTAACCACTGTTTTCTCTGTACTTTGGTGCTTCCCTATACATAGTTTTAGAATTGTATGTTTTCCCCTGCATCGTATGTTGCCTGTCCCACCTATTAGACTGTGAGCTTCTTGCAGGCAGAGACCCTGTGACCCCGGCCTCTAGCACCTGTGCCCTAACCTGACCCATGAGTGTTCACATGCTTTCCCACCCACCCCCTTTTTTTCTCTGCTGCTTGAACCAGCATACACGATTTAAACAAATGAACCAGAACTCCAAGTGGGTTTTCAAATATTTGAAAGACTACCCTGTAGATGACTGAAGATTCTGTGCACCTCCAGAGAGCCAAGAGCAAGAATGAATGGGGACATGTGATCAAGAGATGAATTTGGGATCACTAGGAGAGAACACATTAGTATTGGTCAGGATACTTCTACCAACAGAAGCCTAAATTGGAAATAGCAAAGGGAGAACTTTTTTGGTACACAGATTCCAAGGAAAGTTTGAACTGCCAACCTGCAGGAAGGCCAGGGACAAAGCTGGAACCCAGGAACACCTGAACGAGGGCACCTGAAAGCCACCAGGACCCTGTGTCCTTTGCCTCTGCTTCTCTCTGTGCTAGCTTCCTTATTCCTCACTGTAAACTGGCTTACTCTACAGGGCAGGAAACATGGCTGCTGACAGCTGTGGCCTCACAGCTCAGTTTTCCACCACAGAGGGTCTGGTTTTCTTTCCCAATTCCAGTTAAAAATGTTTTAGAGAAGAACTTTATTGGCACAGCCAGGGTCTATAGTCAGGGAGATTGGGTACCGTGAATAGCCTGGCTTGAGTTTGATGGCAGTCAGCTGAGGCCAGGAGTGGGATCATGTGGGAACAAGGTAGTTGCCATTGGAACCACACGGAGTAGGGGAAAGCCATTTCCAAAAGGAGTAGGGATGGGTGCAGCTTCGAAAACAGAAGGGTTGGACTCCTTTGCTCCCACTTTCTAACAATTACAGCCATTTAGCTTCAGGTACTTTCTGGATGCTCTCAGGAAAATAGGAGAAAGAAGGATGGATAAAAAAGTCTGTGGGCACTTCCGGCCGGGCGCGGTGGCTCACGCCTGTAATCCCAGCACTTTGGGAGGCCCAGGCGGGCGAATCACGAGGTCAGGAGATCGAGACCATCCTGGCTAACACGGTGAAACCCCGTCTCTACTAAAAAATACAAAGAAAAAAATTAGCCGGGCGTGGTGTGGGGCGCCTGTAGTCCCAGCTACTCGGGAGGCTGAGGCAGGAGAATGGCATGAACCCGGGAGGCGGAGGTTGCGGTGAGCCGAGATAGCGCCACTGCACTCCAGCCTGGGCGACAGAGCCAGACTCTGTCTCAAAAAAAAAAAAAGTCTGTGGGGACTTCCAATATTTAGACCAGGTTTCGGCAGTGCTTGGCACTAGTTCTTGGAAATTGTTGCATGATTTGATTATTTTTCTGGGTATCAGGACTCAGCCCATTTCCCCCTCTGGTGCTGAGAAATGGAGGCCGAAGGAGTGATCTAGAAGTGTTAATTGAGCCCCTAATCTATGCTAGTTACTGGGGGTGTTGGGGGAGACAGGAGAGAGATCCCACGGGGTTCCGGCCTCCCAGGGACTCAGGTCACTAATGGAGGTGGCTTGGCTTGTCTATGTGCTGGGCCAACAGCCACTGGCGAGGCAAGGCGAGGGTCAGTCACGGCTGGTGCCAGGAAGAGGGCTGGTTCTTTGGCTCCCTGGTCTCCCGCGGTCTAGCCCAAGCTGGCCAGCGGTTGACCTGGCTCCCCTGGCCCCGGCCAGGCCTCGTGGACCCCTCATATGCCACACGGGACATGAGCAGGCCGGCCGGGAGCCGGGTCCCGGGAGCTCCACGAAGGGGCCTGTCCTCCATGACCAGGACACCCGCTGCGCCTTCCTCCCGAGGCCTCCCGGGCCTCTCCAGACGCGGCGCTACTGCAGACACCAGGGCCGCCAAGGGAGCGGACTCGGAGCCGGCCCTGGGGCGGGCACATGGGCCCCGGCGCCCCCCGGCGTCTCCAAGCCGCGCTGCCCGGGTCGGGCCAGGCCAGGGGAGGGACAGCAGCAGGTGACGACGGCCCGGCCACCGGCTATAAATAGGGGCGCGCGTCAGCCGCGGGCGGGAGCGGCGGCGGCGGGCAGGGGCCCGGGGGCCGGGGCCTGGAGGACAGGCGAGGCAGCGGCGAGTGCGGGGCCGGCGGTCGGGGAGGGCGGTGCCATGGGGTCGCGGAGGGCCCCCAGCCGGGGCTGGGGCGCGGGTGGGCGGTCGGGGGCGGGGGGCGACGGTGAGGACGACGGCCCCGTGTGGATCCCCAGCCCAGCCAGCCGGAGCTACCTGCTCAGCGTGCGGCCCGAGACCAGGTAAGTGGCACCAAGGGGCAGGGCGGCGTCGGGCCGGCGATGCCCTGGGATCAGTCCCTGTGAGGGCGGCCTGGCCCCTGGAGGCCTGGGCTGGGCCTGCGCCCTCGAGCCCTCTCAGCCCCAAGGCCCAGGGCCTGGGGACATGGCCGGGCTGGAATGGCTTTCATAGCCCCTTGTGACCCCTCCTGATCCATGCGCCTCAGGCCTCTGGCAATTCGAGGCTCAAGAGAGGACAAAGGCTCCACTTTGGAGTGATTTCATGGGGTCTGAAGGCTTTCCTTATCTCCCCTGCCCCCTACCCTGCTACTCCCTGGCTTGGGATTCCACAGCTAGCGATAAGGAAAGCCAGAGTGGCTGAAATTCCTCCCTGGCAGGAAGGGAGGGGGAGAGCACTGGTGGGGACAGGGAGAGGGTGCTGGGGGGCTGCCCAGAGTAGGAGCTGCTTAGCTCAGGGTGGGGAGGTTCTCCAGGAAGAAATAAACCTTTGTAAATAAGGTTCCTCTACTGGGCCGAGGACTTGGGTCCTCCCCAGGACCTGAGTGGGGGCTGGTGAGATAGGGGGTGGGATGAGGTACTGTCTGGAGATGTTGGGAATTAAGGACTTGCAGCTCTGAGGGAGCCAAGTGCCCTGTCCAGTTTGGGGAAGTGAAATGCCAAGGGAGGTGTGGAACTGATGAGCCCTTCACTGGTCTTCCAAGAGTTCAAGAGGTGTGGAAGCTTTGTTTTAGCAGCTAGGCCACCCACAGATATAAAGACACAAAGACAATAGACAGGCATCCAGGAAATCAAAGGCACACAGGCACACGTGGACAGGCGCATTGCCATGGAGACAGACACTTCCTGCCCCCTGTGGGCAGCTCAGTTTCCCTTCACTTCTGGAGTCTGTTTTCCAAAGGGAAATGTGTTGAGATAGTGGTTGTTTCATAGCCTGAGAACTTGACTTGTGTATTATGCAGAAAACGGCCATTCCTCCAAGAGGCTGTCCAGAGACCTCTTGTTCTCCATTCCTAAAACAGCATAAAAACAGGCATCGAGGACATTCAGGAAAAGTCCTGGGCACTTCCTCGTGAATTGGCTGAGTCCTACTGACCTTGGAGTTGGGAAAGTTCAAATGTAACCGGAACCGGTTTCTGCATAAAACTCGTCAAATGGTGTCACATGTCTGGGGCAGGGCTGAGGACTGATGTTAGTGACTGAGTCAGACTCAACAAGGCCCCTGGCTGCCAGGAAAGAATACCCCTTTTTCTTACTCCTGGCTCTACAGATAAACCAGAATGAAATTTGGACATTTATTCCAGTCCTTAGAGAAGCTGACTCCCTTGTGGGAGCCTCACATTTGTCACAGTGACTTGTCTGGGCTTTGCCTCCTGTGTTTGGCCTTTGTCAATACCAGTGGAACAAACAGAAGAGGCGGAACCAGGGTCCTTCTTGGAGACAGCAGCAATGAAGGAAGGGAGGAAAGAGTGCCTTGAAAACCAGGCAGAATGGGGAGGGCAGGGGATCTGGGCTTTTAGGAAAAGGGCTGGAGAATGGACATAGTGCTGCTGCCTGGCTGAGCAGTTGTATGATAGATAAATGTTAATTGTACACCTCATGAGCACAAAGCTTGTGCCAGCCTGAGAGCTAGAGGCAGGATAGAAGTGGCTGGCTTAAGTCCCTTTGGACCTAAATGGGAATGTTCTTAAAAGGAGTCTCTTTCATCAAGTATCTGGAGGGGGCAGGACAGCAGGAGTGGGAGAAAGCTTTGGACTTTGGGCTGTGTTTTGCCCCTGCAGAGTTTTTTACTGCTCCTGCTGGCTAGCCACAGACCCCTAGAGGTTCTGAGAGACAAGGACAGCCAGATTTATCAGGCATCTGGAAAAGCCTTTGGCCAAAGTGGGGAGAATGTGACTGGGGCTGCAGTGGGGAGTGGAGGAGGCGAGGCAGTTCCTGCTTCTCTAGTAAGGCCTGACCTGTGTTGGAGGGAGCCACCGTACTGTCTGCTGTCCCTCAGAACAGCCTCACTGCCTGTGGGGGTGGGGAGAGCTCCCTAGAGATAGGGAGAAAGACAGTCCCTCGAGAATTTTGCCAGCTATGTTGGCTCCAGCCCAGCTGAGCCCTGACTATGCCAGAGTCCTGACTGAGAGGCAAGTTCTGTCCCCACTCACTCTTGGCTCCAACATCTTCTGGGTCTACCTTCACAAAGATGTGTCATGGAGCTCTCCAGGCATCATTCTCATGGACCCTTGTGAGGAGGGGCTACCCCTGGGAACTGATGGACAGCTGAGCTGATGGACACCAGAGGCCTTGGTGGATGGCCCAGAACCTATCTCCCTATGCACCTCTCTCTGTCCCACAGCTCTGAAAGGGTTTCCAGTCCATGTCGGTGCAAGAATATTTCCAATGCCCACTGGGGTCAGAGGTCTCACATGCAGATAGTCCCACCAAACTGTAGGCCCAGCCCCCAGGTCACCCGGCATCTAGGACCTCACCCCCATAGAACAGTGAGATGTGGGTAGGCTAGAGAAGTTAAGGGGCCAAAATTGAGTAGAAGCAGTTTTGATTTTTTTTTTGAAGCAGTTATGATTAATTAGCTTTTATGGGACACTCAGAAGTTCCAGAAACCCCTGCCCCCTGGATTCTTGGAGGCCCTGGTCCAGGTGGGCTCAGAGAAGTCACAGAACCTATGATGTTACTACAGACAGCTTTGAAACAAGCTCTGCTGTTCAGCATGGGTCAGCCAGGCTGTCTAGGGCTTTTAGGGAACCTGAGGTATCAGGCCAGGACTGTCCAAAGGCCTTTTATGTCCCAGACTAGATGAAAGCCAGGAGGGATGGAGGCCCCCAGCTTTCGTGGTCAGTTCTAGTTTTCCGTAGCCTACTTCACTCTTTTATGTATTTATTATTTTAGTGTGTTTTTTTTTTGAGATGGAGTCTTGCTCTGACACCCAGGCTGGAGTGCAGTGGCGTGATCTCTGTTCACTGCAACCTCCGCCTCCCAGGTTCAAGTGATCTTCCTGCCTCAACCTCCCGAGTAGTCTGAGATTACAGACGCCTGCCACCGCACCCGGCTAATTTTTGTATTTTTAGCAGAGACGGGATTTCATCCTGTTGGCCAGGCTGGTCTTGAACTCCTGACCTCAGGTGAACTGCCTGCCTCGGCCTCCCAAAGTGCTGGGATTACAGGCATGAGCCACCATGCCCGGTTTAGATTTTAATTATTTATTTTTTATAAAGATGGGGTCTTGCTATATCACCGAGGTTGATCTTGAACTCCTGGGCTCCAGCGATCCTCTTACCTCAGCCCCACAAAGTGTTGGGATTATAGGCATGAGCCACTGTGCTCAGTCCTAACTTCACTCCTTTATGAGGAGACCTTTCCTTTCTGGGCCCTGAATTCCAACCCACCTCCAACCCTTTTTTTTTCTTCTATTCTGCTTATGTATGAATTCCCATTTTGTGAGATGAAGGTGGCACGAAGAACTCTTTAAAGCTTTTCTGCCCCAATGTTTGATGCCTCTCATTCAGCTCCCCCTCAGAGGCAGTAAATGGGGAGCTCCCCTGCCTGGGTGACAGCCCTGAGCCTAGCTGTGGCCCAGCCAGCAGGGCACAGGCAGGTCTCCCACCTTCTGAAGACCAGGTGCCTCCATTAGTTCAGGGTTTCTCCTGACCTGACTAACAATGTAAGGGCGAGGCCTAGAGAGGGCAGGGCGGTTGGTCCAGGAGCAGCAGAGCTGGGGGAGGGGTCCTCTGTCCCAGCTCACTTCTTGACCAACATGCAGGTGGAACTTGTCATTTTCCTCTCTGAATTAGAAAGCTAACTCTCCCCCTCTCCTTCCCAGGGAAGAAGTCCAGACCCAAAGAAGAAGAAATCTCCCAATCCTGAAAGAGAGGGACAAATGAAATTTATGGTCAGGAAAGGATGGAGTTGGCCAGTGCCTTGGAACCATGGGAGGTTCTGCCCACGCGGCCTCCAGAGGATTTTTAAAGCTCTGAGCAGAGGCAGCTGCACTCTAGCACGCTCCTTTCCATCTTTTCTGGAGCAGCAGCTCCCTCTCGGGGGCAGCACCCTTCCTGCTTGAAAAATGCCTTTCTCTCCCCTGACCTCTCTCCCTCCCCCAGGTCCCCCACTGTACTTTCCTCCTCTTTCTTTTTCTTCCTCTCTCTCTCTCTCCCTTCTATAGAACAGCAGTTAAATACCCATCGTCTGTGCAGCACTGCACTAGGAGCCACAGAAGCTACAAGAACTAGGTTTGAAGGCTGGATGGGCAGGATTTAGTTGAGCAGTAGGAGGGAGGAAGGACTTTCCAAACAGGGAGGACAAAAGGGAAGGCTCAGGGGTCAGGAAGGACTGTTCATGCTGATAAGGGACAGGCCTGGCTGTGGTGGCGCCGGAGCATTGGGAAGTAGAGGGAATCTGGTTGCAGCGGGAGTGTGAGTAGATCAGGGAGGGCCCTACCAACCCAGTTAAGGAGTGGAGACTCAGCGTCCTCTACACTGGGGGACTGCAGCATTTTGTTAGAGAAGTGGGTTATATGAGGGGTTAAGGAGAGGGGGCTGAGGTGGTCATCAAATGTGGAGCCATGAGGGTCTAGACTGTAGTGCAACAACAAGAGCAGAGAGGAAGGGAGAAACAAGGGCCAAGAATTGTGCGGACTGGATTTGGGGTTGGAGAAGAAGTAGTCCAAGATGGCAGGTTTTGAGCTTAGGAGTTTGGGAGAATGCTGGAGGTATCTACCAACCCAGGAGCCCGGGGTTAGGGGTGAAGCCAGGTTTTAGGGAAAAGGATGGGTTTGGTGTTGTGGTTATAAAGAGATGGGATCCTCATAGAGCTTTCTTATGGTTAGAGACATAGACCGTGAGCACCATTGAACAGGCTGGGCTGCTGGGAAGGAAGGGAGAGCTCTTCTCATGATAGGGACAGCCGAAGGGAGTGTGGATGGGGTGACCTCTGACATCTCTCAAGGAGCTGGGATCCAGGTCCCCACTGGAGATTTTTGTATCAGGAAAGGAGGAGGGAGAGGGAACAGTTGGCTCATAGTAAGTGGGCTAGACTCCACTAAGGGGCGGTCCTGTGTGGGTCCTCATCCTAGTGCCCTACACAGTGGCCTTTCCTAGCTGCCCCAGGCAAGAGAGATGATTGGGGCCTCAGGCAGAATGGGCCTTGTGTGGACCATGGAGCTGGGTGCCTCCCAGCTCCTGCTGAATTAACTGCCTTGTTTTTCTCTTTTTCACTCTCCCAGCTGGTTTGCCTTGTGTGGCCTCTTTAACCATACTTTAACATATTAATGATGGGTGTTCTCCAAGCCACCTGTCTCTCCTAGCCTCTCAGGGGATTTCCAGGAATGGGGCTCTTTTCTCCCAAAGGCCAAGAATTGAAGCAGGAGCTTGCCCCCAGGCTGGTGTGCTGTGGGGTGGGGAAACATGCCAGGCAGCTGTAAGCCTCCCTCTTGGGGGCAGTGACCCAAATGCCTGGGACACACCTTTCTCAAAGCACAGCCCCAAAGGGCCTCCTTCCTGCCTAACCATTTTCCTGGACTCTGCTGCATTTAATGAGCTCTTGGTTTCAGATACATTGGTGTCCGGTGGTCAGGCCAGTTGCTAAATGGAGCAGGCCAACTAAGACAGCTGGTCCCTTTTAATAGAAAGGCTTCTGGGCCCCAGATGGTGGCCGATTAATAGTTTGCGACTGTTGATTTCGCCTACTTCCTTCTTGCTTTTTTGGCCTAATGATTCCATTTGCTGTTTTTGCTTAGCTTATCAAGCAACCGGTTGTCTCACCCCAGCTCTGGAAGGTAAATGCATATTGCACTACATTTCTCTGACTGCTTTTTCCTTGGGTCTGGGCATTGAGGGGCCACTGAGTGTCTGCTCGTGCACTAACCAGGCTGCATGGGGTGAGGGGAGAGCTGGAGGGTGGGTGGGGAGAGTGCAAGAAGGTACTCAGGTGAACATGGCTCTCACAGGGGGCCAGAGTTGATGCTTGCATGGGCCATTTGAGATGGGCACAGGATCTCAGGAATAGAAATATGGGCAGGGGTCTCTGAGATGCCTGCAATGACATCTCTGTGTCCCTAGGAGACACCATGGGAACAGAACAGAGAGCCATGAGTCATGTCACATGACCCACCTCTTCCCCATCCTAGGTTTTTTATTTCTTAGGGACAGGGTCTTGCTCTGTCATGTTGCCCAGGCTGGAGTGCAATGGCTCCCTGTAGCCTTGAACTCCTGGCCTCAAGGGATCCTCCTGCCTCAGCCTTCTGAGTAGCGGGGACTACAGGCATGCACCATGATGCCTGGCTAATTTTTAAAAATTTTCTTGTAGAGACAGAGTCTCACTGTGTTCCCTGGTCTTGAACTCCTGGCTCCAAGGGATCCTCCTGCCTTGGCTTCCTAAAGTGCTGGGATTACAGGCGTAAGCCACTGTGCCTGGCCCCAATTCTAGGTTTTCATGTTTTTTGTAACCACATACCTAGGTGTGATACCTTATTGTCTATCTTCTTCTAACCATGGTAACTGCCTTTTAAAATTTTTTTCTGCAGTCATTTAAGTTCTCCTTTTACCTCCTCTTTCTCTGAATTTTCCTTTCCTTTGGTTCCTCCCCATCCCTGAAGACTGTGAACTCTGTGAGATCAGAGAATACCACGTTAATGTATTCCTGCATAGCTTATTCTCTGAATCTGCTGCAGAGTCAGGGCAAGGTCTGGGCAGGCTCATGGTCCAGGTTTGCTGGGTGAATGACTGTCTTCTTGCCTCCTGAACTGAGGACAGCTCTTTACCCTTGGCTGAACTGACTGTTACAATCAAAATGGGAACATTTCCTGGCTACTTCCCACCACTTGGGCCTCATCCCAGACTCTGATAGTTTTGGGGAGAGCTAGCTACAGTTTCTTCACACAGAAAAAGATTTCAGAATAGCTAACTGGTTTCTAAATAGCTAATGTTTACAGACATGATTAGCAACTACTATGTCCATGGTCCTTGATGGGGATGAACACTGAGGAGACTTTGTTCTGTGTGGCTCATGGGTGGAACTGAGGATATCACAACTAATTCCAAGTGGAGTGTGGTAAGCGTTGACAGGAGACGACCTGGGCAAACCAAACCTTACCTAAGGGCGAGGTTAGGTTCCACTGAACATCATGAAAACCAATGATTCTGGTGTTCTTTAGAGACATATGATTAGTCTGTGATATCCTTGTGAAGTCATGGAGTTGGAAGGACTTGTCAGGGTTGGACAAGACCATTTCCAGATGTGTGGACTTCCTGGCTTTCCAGGGTATAGGGTGCAGCACACTCAGAGTCCATCCCACATTCGAATGGTTTGGAGGACGGGGACAGAAAGCTTGTGGCAACGAGAAGCTGTATGACATTCAGCAGAACATGACAGTATATACAGTGACTCTCCCTGTGCCTCCAAATGTACCCCAAACCCACTTCCCTGAAAGAGAAGGCTTTCAGCTAGCCACCCTTTCAGCTGTTACTTATTTTCTAATGTAAACATTTTTTTATAATACAGCTTAGGACCTAATGTGGAAAGTTTGAGAAGATATGTTCTTTTCCATTCAAAAAGAATGGTGAAGTAAAATAACTACTTGTTTTTATTTTATTATTATTTTTTTTTTGAGGCATCTCTCTCTGTCACCAGGCTGGAGTGCAGTGGCGTGATCTCGGCTCACTGCAACCTCTGCCTGCCAGGTTCAAGTGATTCTCCTGCCTCAGCCTCCCGAGTAGCTGGGACTACAGGCGCCTGCCACCACGCCTGGCTAATTTTTGTATTTTTAGTAGAGACGGGGTTTCACCACATTGGCCAGGCTGGTCTCGATCTCTTGACCTCGTGATCCGCCAGCCTCAGCCTCCCAAAGTGCTGGGATTACAGGCGTGACCCACTGCACCTGGCCTGTTTTTCATTATCTAGCATGAGCATTTGTCTCTGCAAATTTTCTTAAAACATAGTTTCCCTGTTGTCTCACTTATCCAGTAGCTGAAATGATTTCCTTAGACTTGTCCAGGCGGCTTCATACCTAGGAGCTTAAGCTGAATATTGGATCCAGGCTCAAGGTCATGGATGAGATAGGATTCAAATTATGCAGGGAGGACATAATTAGGGATGGTTTGAATTAATTGCAGACTCATGGAAGTAGGATTATGTTTAGCCTGGTGGTTTCTGGAAAGTGTTGATTGAGATTTGATATTTCCCCAAATCAGAAATTGCTGTTAGTATGATAGCAGCAAGAAACGTTTTCAGATATTAACACTTCCTGAGTGTTCAGGGAGTTAATAGCCTAGGCCCTGAGGACCCTCTATTTCTGAGTGGCTTAAGAAGAAAAGGAAAAGAAGCTTATTGCACAGATGAGTTGTAGGCAAGGGAAGGTTGTAGGGAGTGTTACAGAACATGTCTAACTGCAGACCCAGCTCAAATGTTCAGGTATGTGAGATTGGGATCCCCTTTATGGGTGATCTTTGTGGGGGAGGGCCCTTGTCAACTCCATGAATGCCCAGGTATCTACATTCCTGTGGTGAAACCACAGCAGGAACCCCATCAGTTCAGAAGTCTTACTTGATTCCAGATATTCTCTGGGGTACAACCCTTCTCCTCAAACTCAAGTCTAGAATAATATTCACAGAAAAGATACATCGAATGTGGAATCCCTCCCCACAAAGTGGAGGGTTCTAGATCCTGTTTGCTTCTGCTTCCACAGACTCTCTTAGCCCCTGGCAGAGAGGCCATGGACAGACAAACATTGCCCTTGGGTGACCATCCCTTCCTCTAAGGCACAGGGAAAGGCACCTTTGAATGATGTGTCTTTCTCACTACAGTTTCTCCTGCTTCTCTTCCCTTTGCCCCCTCACAGTCCTCTCTGCCGCTCACAATGGGATGTGTGCCTGGGGAGGGAGGGCCGGGCACGGCTTGTGCACCACACAACCTGCCTTCAGGTGGCGCTTCACACCTAGGAACGCACTGTGTCTCTGCTGGCCCTTGAAAGGGTTTGGCATGGTAGTTTGCTTCCTGGGCCCAGGAAGGAGAAGACTGTAAGCCTGAGCATTGTTGGTGAGTTTGTACTGGACTCAGTGCTTACTGATGCCCCTGAAATCTGGGAGATGGACTGGAGAAGGGAACTAAAAGTTCTGGCTTTTGCAGGGGTGGATCCGTTTGTGGTTTGGCACTCCTGCTGGTTGGTCCTGGAGCAGCCAACCATGTTTCACTTCAGCATGTGGTATCCAGGGATGGAGCAGGGGAGCCACAGCTGGCTTTCCAAGGCTGCTTCCCAGCCCCATTTCGGCTGGGTCTCTCCTTTCTGATACCCTTATGAATTAGAGTCCCCCCTTGGGTCTAGACCCCTAGCATTGGCCAGCTTATTCTTTGTCCATTGTGGGTCTGCACTCACAAATGTAGGAGCTTTTTTTCTGAGCCCAAGCTCTAGGAGAGGCTCCTGTGCTCTTAGGACCCTTGAATCACTGAGGGTTGGCTGGCCTTCCCCTCTTGGCATGAATGAAGGCTCTGCTATGCTGGGGGCTCCATCTCTGAGGCTTGACCTACTTATCTGTGTGTCTCCCTCATGCACCAGTGTCCCTGGAGATGAAAGGTGCAGGGTGAAGTAAGGCCCCTCAAACAATGATGGGATGGGACACCTGGGCTTGTAGACTGGCATGCTCAGGAGCCTGGCCCATGGTCAGTAGCTTGCCTATTGTAATGGGTCTGGGCCAGGATTCCATTCAACCCCTTGATACCTGGCCCCAGCCTGGCCAAGAGGCACAAGCTGCCTTGAAGAAAGACTTGCCGGGGTGCTGCAGCTCTGGCCACAGGAAGATGGGCAGGCATGGTAAGACGGAAGCTGCCTTGGACAGGCCAGGCTGTGCTGTTTGTTGTGGGGAAGGCCAGCTCTGAATAGCTCTTTGCCTCTCTTAGGAGCACCTTCTGCTCCATCATTGCTCAGCTCACAGAGGAGACCCAGCCGCTATTTGAGACCACGCTCAAGTCCCGGTCTGTGTCCGAGGACAGCGACGTCAGGTTCACCTGCATCGTCACAGGTAAGGATGCTGTCTGTATGCTCCATGCCAGGGCCTCTGCACAGAGCAGGGTCCAAGGAGGCTGTGAGGACAGGAATGGTGGGGTGGCGGGCTGTGTGCACAAAACTACGTGAGGTGACATTTACTTTCTGAGCTTTCTCTCTAGTTTAACATCCCTGTGTGGGCTGGTGCCCCTTGCTTCCCCCATTCTGGAGCCACATATATACCCTACTCTTCTTCAGAACCTGTCCTCAGTGAAGGTTCCTGACCCTCAGGGATACATCCATGACTAATGGCCTTATTTGTTGCAAGAAAAGAAGTACTCCAATGGAAAGAGATCTTTGAGGCCATCTCCCTGAGTATCCCCATGTTATAGTTGAGTAATTTGAAGGTTGGGAGTCTCAAGCCTGAGAGGAGAATTGCATGTGGTGATTCTGACTACAGACCCTGGAGGCAGACTGCCTGGCTTGGAGTCCTGGCTCATCCCCTTTCCAATGATGTTACTGAGCACGTTATATAACCTCTCAGCTGCCTCATCTGTAAAGTGGGGATAATGATAGGATGCACTTCATAGGGTTATTTGAGACTGAATGAGTTAATACATGCAAAGTGTTTGGAGTAGTACCTTATGTACAGTAAGTACCACATAAGAGTTAGAAACTGACTGTTACTTGCATTTCACTGAGCTTCGTGATGGAATTTGAAGCAACCGTTTGGCAGAATAGGAAGCAGAGTGATACTCCTTGGAAGGGGAAGATAATGGGTGGGAGTGCTGGGAGGGTGGTTCCAGACATTGCCTCTCCCCCAGATCACCCAGTAGAGACTCCAACCTGACCAGCCTCAGGGCCCGCAGGACCCACAAATGGGTACCCACCCCTCCCAGCTGTGCAGCTATTAGATCCCAGGCCCAGGCTCCCTCTGGAGAGCCTGTTGTTTCTGTAAGTCAAGGTCATTCGTGGTTTCCAGCTGTGAATTCTGGCGGACTTGATTACCCCAGCCAGTAAACAGCTTCTCACTTGGGCAGTTCTCACCCTTACTCAACCCTCTGAGCTGCAGACTGAGAACACTCTCTGCTCCGAGCGACATAGGTGTGCATCCCATACCTTTGTATGGCGTATGGTGAATTTCGCAAGTTGTCTGTTTCCATTGTCATTGCATTCTTACAAATCCCTATGAAGTAAGTGCTATTTTTAGTCAAATTTTACCAAGGAGGAAGCTGAGAGAGGCTGATGCGTTGCCAAAGTCCGCAGCACTAGTGAGGGAGACACTGCTTTTGCTCTCCGGCATCTGATGCTGCTTCCCGCCTGCATCTCCTGTGTTACTGTGGCACTTACAGTTTCCTAGAAAAACCCGGTTCTTTCACAGCTTCATGCTTTTGCACATCTCATTTTCTCTATTTAGAAAGTCCTTAATCCTTCTTTTTAAAGAAAATTAAATTTTACTTTGTCAAATAAATATATGCACATAATTAAGACTTCAAATTATACTAAAAGGCATATTTCAAAATACAGCAGTTCACCCCTCTCAATTTGTCTTCCCAGAAGCAACTGTTTTCAGCTTTTAGCTGTTTCTTCTGGCATGTATACATTTCCATCATGCTGAGTACTACGTGAAATTCTTCAGTTTTAGATGTTCTCTATTGTCTTCCTGTTATGGTAGATAAGGAATTAGCTCTTTTATACCATCATTTTCTCTGTTTCCCTGAACTTATCTTCTTCATATAATTATGTTGACAGCAGTTGTGGAACTTTGGTTCTTATCTTCTTAGTTTTAAAAACTTGAAACAAAAGACACACAGCAAAGGAGATAGAACAATTTATTGCAAAGGAAAAAGAATACTGTAAAAGTTAGGTGCAGAATAGACAGGACACCCTGAGAGAGAGAAGATTCAGCATGGGCTTCTCGTGAGGATGAGACAGCAAAGACTGGTACCTAGGGCGACTCCGTTTCTGTAAGTCTTACATGATTATTCATGAGGAGGTAGGAAGCGGTGTTGCTCCTAAGCATGTTCTGGGTGGTCCTCTGGGTGCACATGCGCAGTAGCTGTACATGCTGTTTATACATCGTGAGTATCTGGGACTACAGGCGCGTGCCACCACACCCATGCTAATGAGACATGCATCTTAAATCTCCACCCAGGGGTGTGCTTTTTACTATTACAATGAGCAAAGGGTGAGTTTGAGGACAGGTAAAATCAAAATGCTCCTGCTCTCTACATGGGAATTCCCTACTGGAGATAGCTTTGCTTGAAAGAACTTTAGAATGCTCATGCTGGGGCTTATTGTGTTGACTGTATAGTCCGGATGGTTGCTGTGTCCTGAGGACATGGTTACTTCCTTGACTCTTATTAATGATAGTTTTCTAAAACTATCCTGCTTCAGTTATATCATAATTTTTGCTTTAATCAACATTTACTGTTTACCTTATTATGCCTATACAATATTATTCATAACTGAACATTGTAGCATACTATGCTTGTATTTTTTCTTTTGTTTTTCCTGAGGTTAGTACTTTCCATAGTTTTTCATTTGTTTCTTTTTTTTGTATCTGTTGCTAATTTTTCTTATACCTCCTAATAGCCTCTTAATACGATATTCTGCAAGGTCAATGACATCAGTAATCTGGCAGTTACTTTCCTTGGAGATATTCCTCTTGGAGCTCTCCATTCTTCTTTTATCTGAACTGCTAGGCTTTTAGGGCCTGATACACAGCTGTTATCCTGGCTCTTCCCTTTGCTTTTCTGTGGATTTAATTCAGCTTCCTGGATCTCATGTCTTCCTTTCTTGGTTTATTTTTTTGCGTTATTGAATACTGCCCCAGTGGTTTCATCAGGTCCTGAAGATGGTGCAGAGGGCATAGTGATGGCAAGGTCTGGACCTTGCTCTCCCTTGAGTCCCTCTGGTCTAATGTGCCTTCGTTTCTCTGCATCTGGTACACAGTTACCATCCTCTAGATTTGGTTTACCTCTCTTCTGTGGTAACTTTCTGCTTTTTGTATTCTACATTTTTTTCTTTCTTGATTTACATTCTTATTTTGGCAGCTTTCTAGAAAGAGTACATGGGAAGTAGATGTTGGATTCCTTGTGTCTGAAAATGTTTTTGTTTGTTTGTTGGTTTGGTTGGTTTGTTTTTTGAGGCAAGATTTCCTCTGTCACCCCGGCTGGAGTGCAGTGGCATGATCACAGATCACTGCAGCCTCAACCGCCCCGGCTCAGGTGATCCTCCTGCCTCAGCCTCCTGAGTAGCTGGGACCACAGGCATGTGCCACCACACCCAACTTATTTTGTGTGTGTGTGTATGTGTGTGTGTGTGATAGAGACTAAGTCCTACTATGTTGCCAGGCTGGTCTCAAACTCCTGGGCTCAAGCAATCCTCCCACCTTGGCCTCCCAAAGTGCTGGGATTATAGTAGGCATGAGTCACTGTGCCCGGCCTCTTTTTTTCTACTTTACTTTTTCTTGCGAATTTGGCTGGGTATAGAATTATAAGCTGAAAATAATTTCCCTTCAGAATTTTAGACATTGTTCCATTATCTTTTTGCTTCCAGTGTTGCTTTTCAGAGTGAGAAGACAGTTTGATCCTAATTCCTTGCATGTGACCAGTTTTTCTCTCTGGAAGCTTGTAAGAGTGTTCTGGTATTTCATAATGATGTATTTCGATATGGGTCTCTTCACCCTGGAACATGCTTAGATGCTTTCAGTTGGAAACGGAGAGCCTTTAGTTCTGGGAAATTTGATTTTATCCTCCTGTTTTCTGTCGTCTTACTTTACAAACTCCTGTTTGGATAGCTGTTCCCCTGGTCGTGGACTTTTATTTTCTTATCCTTTATTCCCCTTTCATCTATTTGTCTTTTGCTCTACTTTCTGGGAGATTTCCTTAGTTTTATCTTTCAACTCTTCTACTGAATTTTAATTTCCAAGGGTTTTAATTTTTGTCATTTTCTGTAGCATCCTGCACTTTTCATGAATGTAGTATCTTTTCTTAGCTCTCTGAGATGCTTATTAATGATAGTTTTCTAAAAGCTTCCTTTTCCTTGCATAGTTTTTCTTCTGTCTTGCTTTTTCTCTGTTTAATTTAATTTTGTCATTAATCTTCGATTGTAGGCTTTCCTCCCATATCTAGAAATCTTTGGCTGTCAGATAATGAGCAAGAGTAGGAGACTTAAAAGCTGATCAGAAGTTCTGAGCAAGGAGGAGGGGCCTGAAAACTTGGCTGTTTACTGTAGGGTGACCTAGGTAGCCACTGTTGGGAACTGCCAAGTAAGTTTCTTTAGTTCCTTCCTCTTGAACTTGCTAGGTTTCCTAGCGAAAGGTTTTCTGGGAGTTATGCAGATCAGAGGGTTGGGTGGGCTCTCAGCATAAGACATTTATTTTATGATATATGGTTATTACATTTTTCTATTTTTCATAGAATAGTCATGCCCTCAGTTATGCTGGCTTACTCTCAGGGCAGATTTTTACATTTCCAAATAATAAACTTCATCTTTGGCTGTGGTGGGGAAGGAGCAGTCATCCAGTGAGATAGAATGGTTGAAGGGTTCCAAAGATTTATTTTTTAAGCATCTTTGAACCTTTCCTCCTTCCTCTTTCTCCCAGTTCCAGAGGTACCAAATTGCCAATTCTTAGGCCCTTTGGGGATTTTCTGGTGTCGAAAGGATAGTTCTCAGTTTTCTCCACTGCTAGCTTAGGGTTGAGCTGTCTTGAGTCTGCTAAGTCAGTTTCCACTTGTCCATCTGCTTTCTAACTTTCAAAATTTTGTTGCTCCTATTACTCTCCTTGCCTGTTCACTTCATCTTTGTGCTTTTACATATGTTGATTAAAAAGTCTTTTCAGGGCAGTTTAGTGAGTTTGAGGGAGGGTATGAAGATAGATGGCATGTTCATTCTGCCTTTTTACCTAGAAGCCTACTCTTTTTCTGCCTGGCAAATTCCTTCTCATCTTTCAAGGGGCTTGCCCTCTGGGAGGTCATCTCCAGTGTTTCCAGGAGAGCTCTTGCTCCATCCTCCACCACATAGTTTTTTTGTTTACACATCTCTCTCTCTCCAACAAGATCGTGACATCTACAAGCACAGGGCATACACCTGACACATCATGCCTCTCCAGAGCTGGCACAAAGATGCTCAGTACATATCAAATGACCACAGTGAAGCTTGACTGTGCTGATGACAAAACCAGTACCTTTTCCACTTGCCATATTGCCTGTTCATTTCAGCCACAGCTTTGGTACCTTGGTAACAGCGGCTGCAGTGGGGACCTGGGACCACTTGAGAGAGGCAGGTGTCAGGGATGGCTCTCCCTCCTCTCCTTTTCCATTCTGTTCTTTGTAGCCATGGAGTTTAAGAGCAATGTGGAGATGTCAGACATGAGTCTGGCTTATAGAATCATGGGGTATTTTATCAAATACTCCCAGTGTCATCAAGGAAGTAAGCTGTTCCCTGTTTCAAGCCCAATCCAAAGGAGCAAGCTTTTCTGCCACATCTCATGATGACCAGGCAGGGCTGCTCAGACATTTATTTTATGATATATGGTTGTATATCACACAACCTACCTACTGTGTATATCATAGCACTTACTGTGCTGAGACCTACAACGCCACCAATGGAGTCTGTAAGGTTTCTGGGGCTCTGGCTATCTCTGATATCCATACCTTAGTCCATTGTTGATCTTCTCCTTTCCTGCCCCCACTCATCCTCACATACATTCAGAATCTCAGCTTACCTGAGTTTTGTGTAGCACATTAGGAAAGAGGTCTCTATGATCACCATAGTACACCTCAAACAAGCCTTTTCTAATTAGCAAGGAGAAAATGCAGGCTGTAGGAGAGGGAAAGGAAGGAGAGGAGGGGCAATGCAGAAGGTTCTGCAAACTAAAGAGTCAGGGTTAGACACGGGAGCTCTCTAGTCTGGAGAGGTGGAAGGTGGATGGATCTCTGGCTGAGACTGGCCTCTCTGTGAGGCTGCTGTTCTGCTCTTGGCTTGTCTCCAGAGTGACCATACGTGCACTCTTCCTTCCTCACTGCTGATAGCATTTCCTAAACAAGGCTAGGATGAGTCAGCCCACCAGGGCCCTGTCAGGCAGAGGTGATGCTTTCCTGGTGGTCAGAACTTAGTCCAGGTGAGGGAGAGTCATCTGCGCCAGTGCTCCTGCTGGCTGACCTGTGATGGAAGCCCTTGGGGTCACAGAGAAGACAGGCAAGGCCCTGGGGTTCTTCCAACTCACAGTAGGCTTGTGGGAAGATAGTGGGCCTCCGCTAGCTCCTGTCTCCCCCAGGGACCCCTCTGGCCAGAGTGCTACTGTCTTCCTTGAGGCAGCCTACTGTCTCCAGCACAGGGGCTTCCCTCCTCCACTCTCCTCAGCTCTGTTGTAGATTCTGTGTTGTGTGTGTGTGTGTGTGTGTGTGTGTGTGTTTGCATGTGGGTGCACATGTTCATATTGGGATGGAAGGAGGAAGCATCAACAGTGGGCAAGTTGCACAAAGGGATTGAGTCTTCTGAAACAGGACCATGTTCCTGAAGAAACTTTTTTTAGAGAAGTAAGTCTAATATAATGACTGTTGGAAGCAAAAACTTATATATTGGTCCCAGAAACCCCAGTGGAAAGAGTACTGGAGAAAGGAAAAGGAAACCTAGGGCTTTGCCATTTGCCAGCTGTGTGACCCTGGGTGTTACTTAGCTTCTTTGAGCCTCATTTTCCTTTTGTATAAAATAGGAATTAAAATACCAGCCTGTGTTATAAAAGAGAGAGATTTGAATTCTGGCTCTCTACTTGCTAGCTAGATAACTTTGGACAAGAGCTTTAATTTCATGAGCTGGGATTTCCTCGTCCTTAAATTGGAGATTAGTAGCAGAGTACATTCCTCATAGGATTTTTGTGAGGATTAGATGAGATAATACATGAGAAGTATTCAGCTTAGTATCTGGCACATAGTAAGTCTTCATTAATGTTGGCAATCATTTGCACAGGAGTGTTCTGAGGGTCAAATGAAATTCTATGTATTTGAAAGCTTTTTGAAAACTTTAAATTTCCATTCATTATTCTTTTGAATCGGAGCTTCTGTGAACTGGGAATGGTTGGGACAAGGCTGCAAGTTTCCAAGCTGGGTTCTTGAGTCAGGTCTGCTGGCTGTGAAACAGAGGCCACAGGGTGTGAAGGGGCTGAGGGAAGGCCACAGGCTCAAGTGCCGCCATGGGCTGTCCTGGCCAGGGCCAGAAGTGTGTGCACACCTGCCTGTGGACATGCACAAATGCACAGCTGGGAGTGAAGGACCCGGAGCCCTCCTGCTTTTATGCATTTTAGGATATAGTTCACATTATTCAGGGCTCAAGGCAATGTGTTCTCCCAAATAAATTTGCTTCCAAAGCTCATTGTGGCTATGAAGCCCTAAGCTGTCGGGTTGGCCCCCACTGTGTAGAGGCAGCACCAGAGGGTGGCATGGAGGCTGAGGCCCCAGCCCTGGGGCTGTGGGGTCCATTCAGCTCCTCCCTCCTTGCCCCACCCCTGCCCTCTTGCCCAAGCATTTGACTGGACTCAGATGCCCTGGAGACTGAGGCTGTGCTGGGCAGGTCATGGGGCAGGGAGGCTCTGAGCTGGGTCCTTGTAGGGATGAGATCATCTCACAGGATGGTGAGGACACCTGTGCTGGCTCTGGTCACACACACAGTGATGTAACCAGGGGGTTTAGCTCACAGTGGAAACATGGGGCTCGCTTTACAGCCAGGGCTGCCCAGAGTTTGTTCCTGGCCGACGCTGCTGCAGCCTCGCCTCCCCTGCTCCCTGCTCCTGTACACAGTTCCCCAGCATGCCCTTTGCTTGTCACCCTCCCCCTCTCATGTTGGGGTTCCCTTGTCAGGCATGCCCTTCCCATCCACCTTGTGTGTTCACCCTACTTACTCATTTACTTATCGTCCCACAGATTTCTTTTAAGTAATTACCACACCACAGTGTCAGGCACTGTCTTAGGTGGTGGGGATATAGCAGTGAACAAGATACAGTTTCTACCCACATGGGACCTAAGTCTAGCAGGAGAGATAGGCAAGGAAATAGTCAATGACAGTATTGTGATTAGTGCTGTGAAGGGGAAGTGCAGGTGACGTTAGAGCTGAGGGGAAGCGGGAGATCAGAGGGACTGAACCCATCTTTCCTGAAATCCTGCCCACCCTCCAAGTTGAGTTCAGGTGCCACTCACTACAAAAGCTTTCCTGAGTCCCTAGCCAGAGGTGATTGCTCCCTTCTCTGCAGCCCTAAGCACTTAGTGCATTGCTTCATTTATTCATCTATAAATATTTGATGAGTGTTGATTCCATACCAGGGACTATTCTAGGAACTGGGGACACAGCAGTGAATAACACAGATAAGTCCCTGCTGTCATGGAGCTGATATTTGTCATGGAAAGGATGGACGTAAACCAACACACTCCTAAGTGTATAATATGTCAGGTAGCAATGTGTTCTATGAAGAAAAATAAATGTAGTAAGAGGAATAGCAAGTGCCTGGGAGACAGCATTGCTGCTTTACACGGGGTGGAAGGGAAGGCCTCTCTAGGGAAGTAACAGAGCCCTGCAAGAGTCAAAGCCTGGTGCTCCTGTGGTGTGTGAGGCAAGCCAGCAGGACCACATGGGTGGGTGCATCAAGCTGGGGGAGAGTGGAGGGAGGTGGGGCCAGCATGGTCACAGGGCCCAGATCATGAGGGCTGCGTGAAATGGAGCTAATTGGGGTGTTTTGAACAAAGGGGTACCATGATCTGACATTATTTTAAAAGGATCACTCTGTCTTTTCTGCTGAGAATGGGCTGAATAGAGCCAAGCAGCAAGATCAGTGAGGAGGTTATTAAAGAAATTGAGGTGTGAGATGATGGGAATGTGGACCAGGCTGTTGGTGGGGAATGGCAAGGAGTGATCAGATTCTAGATATATTCTAAGGGAGGGCCAGCAAGATTGCCTGATGGAGTAGAGGTGAGGCAAGTAAAGGAATACAGCATTGCCTCTAGGTTTTGGCCTGAGCCAAATATAGGGATGAAGTTGCTATTTACTGAGATTTGTGGGAACTGGCTTGGAGGGCGGACTAAGGAGCTTGGATGGGACATGGTAAGCTTGATACCTCTTGGACCTTCAAGTGGAAATGCCAGATATGCAGTCAGAAATAACGTCCAGGGTAGAAGACTGGGCTGGAGATAGAAATTTGGGAGTCCATGAGCATACATATATTTGAAAGCCACAGGACAGAATTAGGACCTCCTGGGTTGTGAGTATGGATAGAGAATGGAAAATGGTTCTGGGGCCTGAGCTTTGGGGCAAGTCTAGGTGGGAGGGGAGGACTGATGAAGAGCTCAGGAAAAGTGGCCAGTGAAGTAGGAGGAGCAGCCAGAAAGAGCGGTGTCCTAGAAGCAAGTGAAGCAAAGGTTTCAGGAAGTGGGGTTGGTGATGCTGATGGGTTAGGCAGATGGGCATAGGAATTGGATTTGGCAATGTACAAGTCATGGGTGACTGACAAGAGCAATTCTGGTGCAAGAGAGGCTATAAAGTCTGATTTGAGGAAGGAAAATGAAGATAGTGAGTACAGGCAGCTCTTTCAAAGAATTTTTCTGTAAAGCAGAGAGCAGAGAAATGAGAGCAGGGGCTGGAGGAGGCTGTGGGGTCAAAGGAATTTCTTTTTAAAGAAGGACACAGTAGAGCAGGCTTGTACGCTGATGAGAAAGATGTAACAGAGAGGAAAAGTCTGATGATGCAGGAGCGAGCAGGAATAATTGCTGGAGAAATGTCCTTGATTAGGCACGAGCAGGTGGGATCCAGTGAGGGGCCGCTTTACTTAGGAGCGTGGTGCATCCGTAGGCAGTAGGAAAGGCAGAGCGCCTGTGCAGATGCTAGGTGCATTGCTGCCTTGTGCGGGTGCATGCCATGTCTCACCTTTTCTATCACACAGTAAGCTCCTGGAGAGCAGAGACCGTGTCTTATGTGCTTCTGTGTCCTCATAACCCTAACTTGCCAGTCATATGTACTTAATATATATCTTTGAGTGAATGTATGTTAGCAGTCTCATATCAAGCAAGTAACGCAGATCAGTCAGCTTAAGAAATGAAGCAGGATTCATTGGTAAGTCCAGAGGGGCTTCTTATGGAATTGACAAGAGGAGGGCAGCTGTGCCCAGGCAAGGAATGGAACTAGTACTTGGAAGCATCTTGCAACTCTCTCTGTCTTCCACCTCTTATTCAATCCTGAACATCAACTTCCTTTTTCCATCTCTCACTGTAGTGTTTGCTTCTCAGTCCATGTGGCAGAACATGGCTGCTCTACTCTTTTGAAGCTAAATTTTTCAGATACAATGGTAGACTGTCTCTAGGTCCTAATTCCCAAATACCTGGTCAAAGAATTAGCTAGATTAGCTGATCTGGTGTCCGTTACTGGACCAATCCACTATGGCCAGAGAGGTAAGGGACACGTGACAGTAACAGCTGGGAGCTCCTCCTGTGGGTGGGCTGGAAGTGCCCAGAGAAGGGGCTGGGCAGACACCTCAGTCGGTGTCACTGCAGTGACAGGGTGGGTAGGAAGGTGTAGATGTGTGGACAGATGGATAATAGGTAAATGAATGAACGGGTGGACAGATAGATGCTTTAGCCATGTTTTCAAATAATCCTAACAGCTCAGGAACCTGAAATGAAAGGAGGAGGGCTCTTAGAAGGGATGATCATGGTGGGACATAAGGGAGGAGACCCCTGAGGATAGAGCCCTTACTGCAGTTGAGGAAGTAGAATGGGCCACTATAGAAGGAAGCTTATTCCCAGTAGCCAAGGATTTCTGGAAACTCCTTGTCTCCCTTCCCATTAGGAAGCTAGAAAGTTTCTCCTCCATATTTTCCTTCCTATTGCTGAAGGGGAATTGTTTTCAGCTTTGACAGGGACCAGCTTCTAAAAATAAGCTGAGCTATCATACAGTGGCTCGGTTCTTCCAGCAAGCCTGGGGCAGGTGGTCCTGTCCAGTCTCTTCAGGTGGTCTGGGAAGCCACGGCCTCGTGTTCTCTCCTCCCATTATTATTATTATTATTATTATTATTATTATTATTATTGAGATGGAGTCTCACTATCGCCTAGGCTAGAGTGCAGTGGCAAGATCTTGGCTCACTGCAACCTCGGACTCCTGGGTTCAAGCGATTCTCCTGCCTCAGCCTCTCAAGCAGCTGGGATTACAGGAGCCCGCCACCACGTCCGGGTAATTTTTTTGTAGTTTTAGTAGAGACTGGGTTTTACCATGTTGACCAGGCTGGTCTTAAACTCCTGACCTCAGGTGATCTGCCTGCCTCAGCCTCCCAAAGTGCTGGGATTACAGGCGTGAGCCACCGTGCCCGGCCTCTTCCCATTATTTTGGAACTGGCCTTGCTGTAACCCAGTCTCCTGCTTCTTTCTCAGGATACCCAGAGCCAGAGGTGACCTGGTACAAGGATGATACGGAGCTGGACCGCTACTGTGGCTTGCCAAAATATGAGATCACTCATCAGGGCAACCGCCACACACTGCAGCTGTACAGGTGAGGGAGAAGGGCCTGTTTTGCTCTCTCTGCCCTCCCGAGGGCCCTCTGGCTGGGGTCCTGCCCTCAGAAATGGAGCAGTCTGGATGGAGATGCCCAGGCACTCTCTGGGGATGGAGGGCAGGATTCTGCTGTGTGGTTGAACCACCTGGTGAACCACATCTGCCTTCCGGTGTCTGGGAGCTCCTAAGGCCAGAGTGGGAGTATTCCTGACAGTCAAAGAGCTGGTGCAGCCAGCAGAGGTCCTGACCTACAGAAATATTTTCCATGAGGTCAGCGGCCAAAAAAAGCAACTGTATCATCATGACTTCACGAGGGGCTGTGTTGGTCACCTGCTTCTGAAGGGAGCTCTCCTGGGCCCCAAGTCTAATCCCTCCTGGGACAGTATGGCCTTGGTCAGCCGCCACCTTTTTGCCAGCCTCAGTTCCCTCAGCTGTAATGGAGGGTGTTGTATGTTGTGACGTGTGAGATGGGGCGTAGCACACGGCAGGGCTTGCTGTAGGGAGGGGGAAGTGTGCCCGGCTCTGAACGGCTCTGGCTGGGGGGTGTGGGGGCTCTCACCTCCCAGGAGGGGAGAGGTGGCACCTCCCGCTCCTACCTCTAGGTGTCGAGAAGAAGATGCCGCCATCTACCAGGCCTCTGCCCAGAACAGCAAGGGCATTGTGTCCTGCTCAGGGGTCCTGGAGGTGGGCACCATGACTGAGTACAAGATCCACCAGCGCTGGTTCGCCAAGTTGAAGCGCAAGGCTGCGGCAAAGCTGCGCGAGATCGAGCAGAGCTGGAAGCACGAGAAGGCGGTGCCTGGGGAGGTCGACACTCTGCGCAAGCTCAGCCCCGACCGCTTCCAGCGAAAGCGGCGATTGAGCGGGGCTCAAGCGCCGGGCCCCTCGGTCCCTACCAGGGAGCCTGAGGGTGGGACCCTGGCGGCTTGGCAGGAGGGAGAGACTGAGACTGCTCAGCACTCAGGTTTGGGCCTGATCAACAGTTTTGCTTCTGGAGAAGTGACCACCAACGGGGAGGCTGCCCCCGAGAATGGAGAGGACGGAGAGCATGGCTTGCTGACATACATCTGTGACGCCATGGAGCTGGGGCCTCAGAGAGCCCTCAAAGAGGAGAGTGGGGCCAAGAAGAAAAAGAAAGATGAGGAATCCAAGCAAGGCCTGCGGAAGCCAGAGTTAGAGAAGGCAGCCCAAAGCCGCCGTTCTTCAGAAAACTGCATCCCCAGCTCAGACGAGCCTGACTCCTGTGGGACTCAGGGGCCCGTGGGCGTGGAGCAGGTTCAGACCCAGCCCAGAGGCAGGGCTGCACGGGGGCCTGGGTCCTCTGGCACAGATAGTACCAGGAAGCCAGCCTCTGCTGTGGGCACTCCAGACAAGGCCCAGAAGGCCCCTGGCCCAGGCCCAGGCCAGGAAGTGTATTTCTCCTTGAAGGACATGTACCTGGAGAACACCCAGGCAGTCAGGCCTCTTGGGGAAGAGGGACCCCAGACCCTGAGTGTCCGGGCGCCTGGGGAGAGTCCCAAGGGGAAGGCACCCCTCAGGGCTAGAAGCGAGGGGGTGCCTGGCGCTCCTGGCCAGCCCACACACTCCTTGACCCCCCAGCCGACTAGGCCTTTCAACAGAAAGAGATTTGCCCCTCCAAAGCCCAAAGGAGAGGCCACCACTGACAGCAAGCCCATTTCTTCTCTGAGTCAAGCTCCAGAATGCGGGGCCCAGAGCTTAGGAAAGGCCCCACCTCAGGCCTCTGTGCAGGTGCCGACGCCCCCTGCCCGGCGGAGACATGGCACCCGGGACAGCACGTTGCAGGGGCAAGCAGGCCACAGGACTCCAGGAGAGGTAAGTGTGGGTGTTGGGTGCCTGGAGGCCGCTCTGGGAAGCTGACCTCATGGAAACTCTTGCTGCAACTGCTGGGCAGCCAGTGAGCAGTGGGCTATTTATAGAAAGGGGTGGGGAGGGACTGGAGTGCCAGCTACAGGGACCACAGGCATGCCCTTTGCCCCAGCCAGTTTCCAGATGCCAGGCATGTGGGCAGCACAGCCTGACTGTGACCCTCTTCTGGGAGTGTAGGAGTTCACAGCCAAGGGGACTGTGCCCCGGAGGGAGATGGAAGAAGATAATGTTCTCTGGGGTGGGAAAGGGGGCCAGTGGAGAGCTTTCTGTGGGCTTTGCTGAGGCAACAGTGTTTCATGGGGGAGACGGAGGAGCAGGTGTGCGCTGTAGTGTACAGCAGGTGGCAACTTGGCTACTCATTCGATTTTTAACAAAGCTGAATGTCCAGGAAATGCTGGTTAAATCTGGGTTTATCTAAGGTTCTGGAGTCAGGCATACCTATATGCAAATCTGACTGCCTTAACATGGCGTGATCTAGAGCAAGTTGTAAAACTGGAAGAATAATCATAACAATACCTACTTCGTAGGGCTGTTGTAAGAATCTGGTGCCCTCTAAGAACTAAGTAAGTGGCAGTTGGGATCAGATATGACTATGGTGGGAAACAGAGGCAAAGTGTTTTTACTTGGTAACAGGAGTGCCATCATCTTCTAGGGAACAGGTAGCTGACAGAGAAAAGATTATGTTTTGTGTGGAGACAGGGGTAGTGGAGTGTCCACTCCCCAAAGAGGCAGATGGGTGGCAGCGTTAAGGAGCTTGAGGGGTGGGATTGAGAGGGCAGGAAGGAAACAATTCGTCCCTTTTGGTTATTTCTTTATGTTTCAGGGGCTTGGGGGGCATTATTTCACAGTGGTTTTGGGAGACAGAGTGTTTTATAGTGGGACAGAAAGAAGACAGTGTTTCTTATGAGTGGCAGAAGGAAAAGTATTTCAAGAGTGGGGCTGGGGTGGATAAAATAGATAGAACATATTTACACTGAGACAAATACTGGTTATTTATTTGAAGTCCCAATTTAACTGGGTGTCGGTATTTCTTTCTTTCTTTGGTTTGTTTATTTGTTTGTTTGTTTTTTGAGATGGAGTTGCCCAGGCTGGAGTGCAGTACAGTGGTGCGATCTCAGCTCACTGCAGCCTCCGGCTCCCGGGTTCAAGCAGTTCTTGTGTCTCAGCCTCCAAAGTAGTTGGAATTACAGGTGTGAGGCACCATGCTCAGCTAATTTTTGTATTTTTAGTAGAGACAGGGTTTTGCTGTGTTGACCAGGCTGATCTTGAACTCTTGACCTCAAGTGATCTGTCCACCTCAGCCTCCCAAAATGTTGGGATTACAGGCGTGAGCCGCCGTGCCCAGCCCAGTATTTCTTTTTGCTAAATCTGATAACCTTAAGTGGAGACATCCTCTGGTTTTGGTGAGAACTAAGATGAGACTGTTTCTTAGGATAGAGGAAGCAGTTATAGATCGGGAATGGCTTCATGGGGGAACAGGAGGAAAGCAGTGTTTCCCAGGGGTAGGGACAGAGGACAGGTGGTTTCTCGGAGCAGTGAAGGGAAGCACATGAGGGACAAGCTGATACAGCACCTGGCAGAGGGCAAAGGGGAAAGGATGCTTTGTGGAGAACAGGAGGGGCTTTCCCATGGAGAGAACTTTCATGGTGGGAAGGAGGGAAAGACTAGTTTTAAGGGTGACCATGGGAAATGGTTTTATTTCATGGGTGCTAAGGTTAGACTGTAGGAACAGTAGTTCAGAGGGCTTTGGAGTGGAACAAACCTCAAGGACCTAAAACCAGACTTTCTGGAACCTGTTCCTGACTCTTGTCCCCCTCATGCCTGGTCTCCTGTAGTTTTGGCCACTGGAATGGTAAGTTCACAGTGGCCCGGGGAAGGCTTTGTGGGGCTGCTGCACATGCCTGACAGCCCACAGGCTGGACAGCAGGGACTTTTGGAAGAGATGGCTCTCATAGGCCCTCATAGCTCATTTAGGAAGGGACCAGGCTGGTGGCCAAGTGAGTGTGCAAATCTGGCTTCTCTGCCTAAATGGTGAGGAACCCAATACCAGATGGTGGCATCCTCCTGGTAGGGCCAGAGGAGGAAGTACCAGCCCCCTCTTCCTTGCCTCCCAAAGGTAGGAGGAGGGGCTCAGGCAGTGTGGTACCTGAGAAGTTGTCTGTGTTGGTTCCACTGCTCCAACAAAAACCTCATGGTTAGGCTGGGTACAGTGGCTCATGCCTGTAATCCCAGCACTTTGGAAGGCCGAAGCAGGTGGCTCACTTGAGGTTAGGAGTTTGAGACCAGCTTGGCCAACATGGTGAAACCCCATCTTTACTAAAAATACAAAAAATTAGCCGGGTGTGGTGGCACGTGCCTGTAATTCTGACCACTTGGGTGGCTGAGGCAGGAGAATTGCTAGAACCTGGGAGGTGGAGGTTGCAGTGAGCAATAGTTTAGATAGTCTCATGAGACTAAGGAGACAAAAATTAGAGCCCATGGTCTCAAGAGTGGGAGCCCTTGTAAGCCCCCTGGGTTTTGGGTTGGGACTCTGAAGGTTTGTACCCTAGGAGAAAGGGGAATCAAGTAAATTAGTCTCACGGTATTGAGTTACTGACGAGCTCCAAGTTACATGGATAACTAAGAAATATCTCAATCCCTGAAATTAGAATTAGGTGGTTCAAGATACCTAGTGCCCTCAGGCACCTGGCAGAAGCAAACAAAAATCATATCTGGAGGATGACAGCATCATCTTAAGCCTGAAATTATTTTTAAAAAGTATTTCAAATATAATATTCAGCATGAAATGAAGATAAGTCCACAGAAGATAGAAATTGGCCCACAGGTTGCCGGGCACAGTGGCTCACGCTTGTAATCGCAGTACTTTAGGAGGCTGAGGTGGGCAGATCACTTGAAGCCAGGAGTTCAAGACCAGCCTGGCCAATGTGGTGAAACCCTGTCTCTACTAAAAATATAAGAATTAGGCCAGGCATGGTGGCTCATGCCTGTAATCCCAGCACTTTGGGAAGCTAAGGTGGGTGGATAACAAGCTCAGGAGTTCAAGACCAGCGTGGCCAAGATGGTGAAACCCTGTCTCTACTAACAATACAAAAATTACCTGGGCGTGGTGGCGGATGCCTGTAATCCCAGCTATTCGGGAGGCTGAGGCAGATAATTGCTTGAACCTGGGAGGCGGAGGTTGTGGTGAGCTGAGATTGCACCACTGCACTCCAGCCTGGGTGACAGAGTGAGGCTCCATCTCAAAAAAACCCAAAAAAACAAAAAACAAAAATTAGCCAGGTGTGGTGGTGCATGCCTGTAATTTCAACTACTTGGGAGGCTGAGGCACGAGAATCACTTAAACCTGGGAAGCAGAGGTTGCAGTGAACTGAGATTGTGCTACTGCACTCCAGCCTCGGTGACAGAGTGAGATTCTGTCTCAAAAAACAAAAGAAAAGAAAGAAATTGGCCCACAGGTTTCCAACTTTTGGAATTATTAGACATGAATTATAAAATTAAAATTAGTTTACCTCCTTCATATATCGAAGGAGATAAGAAGACAAGATTGCAAATTTCACCAAATACCTAGAAACTATAAAAAGTGGAAAAGGCCGAGCGCAGTGGTTCACGCCTGTAATCCCAGCACTTTGGGAGGCTGAGGCAGATGGATCACCTGAGGTCAGGAGTTCGAGACTAGCCTGGCCAACATGGTGAAACCCCATCTCTACTAAAAATACAAAACTTAGCTGGGTGTGGTGATGCACATCTGTAATCCCAGCTACTCAGTAGGCTGAGGCAGGAGAATCGCTTGAACCCGAGAGGTGGAGGTTGCAGTGAGCTAGGATCACGCCACCGCGCTCCAGCCTGGGCAACAGAGCGAGACTCCGTCTCAAAAAAAAAAAGGTGGAAAAGACTTGAAAATGAACCAACTAGAATTCCAGAGCTGAAAAATACAATAACTAATATTATTTATTCTGGTTATGGCAGTTTTATTTCTGGATAAGATGGAGTAAATACACTTGATTCTGTATCTCCCACTGAATGCAGCCTAAAATTTAGGCAAAATGTATAATACACCTACTTGACAACTTTGAAAAGCAAATAGTCGCAGACAGATTGGGGATGAAGACCAGAACTCAAAGTACCACTGAACCTACGGTGTTTACTTTTTTTTTTTTTCCCTTCTGGCATTTCCTGGCCTGGTCTTAATGCTGTTTGAAACCCAGATGTAAACATTAACTTGGGCAGAGAGAGTTCCAGAAGCCCTCTAGATCAGCCTTCAGGAATGGAAAAGAGATTTCTTGGCAGTGACAGTGGTAGCAACAGAGGCCACAGGTGCCTAAAACTTTGAGAGAAGAGAATCTTCCCCTCTATTCAGAGGAGCTGTGATCCTAAGAGTGGGACAAGTCCCTGTTCCTTTTTTTTTCTCCTGGGTCTCTTCCTTGGTCCAGATCACAGGCTCATGTGTGAAACAATGTGGCAGAGAGGGGTAAAGGAAGCTCCAGCTATTTGGCCAGAAGACTGAAAAAGGGGGCCCTATGGGGGAAACCGTGGAAAGGGAAAAGCTTGGGAAAATGACCTCTGAGAATCATTAATGACCTCTGGGTTTATAAACTCTTTATAAATTTCTGGGCTCATCCCCAGATTGTTCCTGCATGGATCTGATTCTGAAGAGCATATAAAAAACTTTGAGAATGAAATACTTGGGAGAATAAAAAACTTCGAGAATAAAAACACTAATGAACCATCATGTAAGTCCCACACTGGCCACTGGGTGGCACACACACAGGGCAGATCCAAATAGCACTGCAGGCCGGGTGTGGTGGCTCATGCCTGTAATCCCAGCACTTTGGGAAGCCGAAGCAGGCAGATCACTTGAGGTCAGGAGTTCGAGACCAGCGTGGCCAAAATAGTGAAACACTTTCTCTACTAAAAATAGAAAAAATTAGCCAGGCATAGTGGCACATGCCTGTAGTCCCACCTACTCGGGAGGCTGAGGTGGGAGAATTGCTTGAACCCGGGAACCTGGGAGGCAGAGGTTGCAGTGAGCTGAGATCATGCCATTGCACTCCAGCCTGGGTGACAGAGTAAAGCTTCGTCTCAAAAATAAAACAACAACAATAAAAAAACCCCAAACAGCATTGGAAATGCTTGGAAAATGGAACCGAGATTGAAACTATAACCTCAGAGGCCTGAATGGAATTTGTAGCCTGAACACAACTAGGTAGATTGCCTTCCAAGACAAAGATGTTAATACTCTCCATAAGATTTAAACAAGAATCAGAGTCTTGTAATATTTAAAATGTCCAAATACAATAAAAGTTACATGGCATATGAAAAATCATGAAAATCTCCACTTGCATGGAAAGACAATCAAAGAGTGCCAATGCCACAGTGACACAGATGTTAGAATCATCTGACTTTAAAATCATCTGACTTTACTATAAAAATGTGGCAAGTAAGGGTGAATACTCTGGAAACAAATGGAAAGATAGAAAGTCTCAGCAAAGAGGTAAAAGACTAGGCTGGGGAACATGGCAAAACCCTGTCTTTACAAAAAATACAAAAAAGTTAGCTGGGCATAGTGGTGTGTGTCTGTAGTCTGAGCTATTTGCAGGGCTGAGGTGGGAAGAACACTTGAACCCAGGATGTTGAGGGTGCAGTGAGCTGAGATCACGCCACTGAACTCCAGCCTGGACAAAGGGAGACCCTGTCTCAAAACAAACAAACAAACAAACAAAAAGAGGTAAAAGATATGAAGAACCAAATATCAATTTTATTCATTTTTTATTTTTTATTTTTTTGAGACAGAGTTTTGCACTTGTTGCCCAGGCTGGATTGCCTGGCACGCTGCAGTGGCATGATCTCGGTTCACTGCAACCTTCACCTCCTGGGTTCAAGAGATTCTCCTGCCTCAGCCTCCTGAGGGAGTAGCTGGGATTACAGACGTGTGCCGCTACACTTGGCTAATTTTGTATTTTTAGTACAGGGGTTTCACTGTGTTGGCCAGCCTGGTCTTGAACTCCTGACCTCAGGTGATCCACTCACCTCAGCCCCAAATATCAATTTTAGAATTGAAATTTACAATAACTGAATAAAAAGACTTACTGGTTGAGCCCAACAACAGAGTGATAGGTGACAGGGAGAAGACAGTGAACTTGAAGTTAAAGCAATAGAAATTATTCAATCTGAACACATACGCCCATACACGCACAGAGAGAGAGGAAGGGAGGGAGAAACGGGGAGAGAGAGAGAGAGAGAGAGAGAGAGAGAGAGAGAGAGAGGAATCAGAAAAATCAATGAACAGAGCCTCAGAGACTTGGAGTGCTGTATCAAAAAGTCTAACATTTGTGTCACTGGATAATCAGAAGGAGAAAGAGAAAGACAGTGATGCAGAAAAAAATATCTGAAGGAATAATGGCTGAAAACTTTCAAAATTTGGCAAAAGTCAAGAAGTTCAGCAAACCCTAAACAGGAAAAGCCCATAGAATTCCACATCCAGAAACCTCATAGCCAAACTGTTGGAAAGTAAAGACAATGAAAAACTCTTGGAAGTAGCCAGAGAAACATAATACATTATTTATAGGGAAGCAATGATTTGAATGACTATAGATTTCTCATCAGAAACAATGGAGGCCAAAAGGAAGTGGAACAACATTTTTTTTTAATGCTAAAAAAAAGAACTTTCAACCTATAATTCTACATTTAGCAAAAATATCTTTAAGTATTGAAAGTGAAATAAAGACATTCTCAGATAATGGAAAAAACAAGACACTACATTGTCAGCAGACCTGTTCTAGAAGAATTGCTAGGCTGGGAGCTGTGGCTCACGCCTGTAATCCCAGCACTGTGGGAGGCTGAGGCAGGTGGATCACCTGAGGTCATGAGTTCGAGACCAGCCTGACCAACATGGTGAAACCTTGTCTCTACTAAAAATACAAAAAAAATTAGCCAGGGGTGGTGGGGGGCACCTGTAATCCCAGCTACTGGGGAGGCTGAGGCAAGAGAATCACTTGAACCTAGGAGGCAGAGGTTGTGGTGAACTGAGATTGCACCACTGTACTCCAGCCTGGGTGACAAAGCCAGACTTGATCTCAAAAAAAAAAAAATAAAAAGAAAAAGAATTGCTAAAGTAAATTTTTCATAGAGAAAGGAAATAATACCAGAAGGAAACTTGAAACATCAAGAATGAAAGAAGGGCAATGGAAATGGTAAATATCCTGGTAAATATAATAGATTATTTCATCTTGATTTCTTTAAAATATGTTTGAAGGTAAAAAGTAAAAAAAAAAAATTACATTGCTGGAGTTTTTTTAATGTATGCAAATATAATATATAAGACAAATACAACATAAAGGGGCATAGGGTAAAGAGACCTATATGATGGTGAGATTACTGTATGGCACTTGAAGTGGTAAAATATTGACTCTAAGTAGACTGTGGAGAGTTAAGTATGTATATTGTAAGCCCTAGAGCAACAACAGAAATACTATACAAAGAGATATAGTAAAAATCACACTACGTAAGTTAAAGTGGAATACTAAAAGATGTTCTAATCTAAAAGGAGGCAAGAATAGGGAAACACAGGAAGGAAAAACAGGAAACAAATAGAAAACAAATAGTAAAATTATTGAGTAAAATCTAAACCTATAAATAATTATATTAACTATAAATGGTCTGAGCATATCAATTAAATGACAGATTGTGAGACAGGACCAGAAAAACTTTCCCAACTTGATGCTGTCAATAAGAAATCCATTTCAAATATAGTGATATAGGTCAGTTACAAGTAAAATAATAGAAAAATATATACCATGCAAACACTAATCAGATGAAAGCTGGAATGGCAATATTAATATCAGACAGAGTAGATTTCTGAGGAAAGAAAATTACTGGCTGGGTGCAGTGGCTCACACCTGTAATCCCAGCACTTTGGGAGGACAAGGCAGGCAGATCACCTGAGGTCGGGAGTTCGAGACCAGCCTGACCAACATGGAGAAAACCCATCTCTACTAAAAATACAAAAATTAGCCAGGCATGGTGGTGCATGCCTGTAATCCCAGCTACTTGGGAGGCTGAAGCAGGAGAATCACTTGAACCCGGGAGGTGGAGGTTGCGTTGAGTCGAGATCACGCCATTGCACTCCAGCCTGGGCAACAAGAGTAAAACTCTGTCTCAAAAAAAAAAAATTACTAAGAGAAAAATAGTGAACTATCTAGTGATAAAAGGGTCAATTCAAGAAGACATAACAATAAAAAATGTGTATGCACCTAACAACATACCTTCAAAATACATGAAGCAAAACCTGACAGAACTGAAAGTAGAAATATACAGAAAACAATAATTATAGTTGGAGACTTTAACACTCCTCTCTCTCAGTAATCAATAGAACTAGTAGACAGAAAATCAGTAAGGATATAAAAGAACTGAACAGCACCAGCAACCAACTATCTAATAGACATATATAGAATACTCTGTGTAACAACAGAATACTCATTCTTTTCAAGTGCATATAAAATATTCACCAAAATAGATTATATCCTGGACCATAATATAAATCTTAACAAATGTGAAGTAATTGAAATAATACAAAGTATGTACTCTGACCAAAATGAAATTAAACTAGAAATCAATGACAGAAAGATAATAGAAAAATTTCTAAACACTTTTAAATTAAAGAACATACTTTTATGGGCCAAGGAAGAAGTCCTAAGGCCAATTAGAAAACATTTTAAATTGAATGAAAGTGAAAATACAACATACCAAAATGTTGGATGCTGCTAAATCAGTGCCTTGAAGAAAATGTATAGCATTAAAATGTTTATATTAGAAAAGAAAAAGGATCTGAAATATCAATAACCTAAGTTCCCACCTTAGAAAACTAGAAAAAGAAGAGAAAAATAAATCCAAAGCAAACAGATAGAAAAGAACAGAAAATAATGAAACCAAAAACAGGAAAATTATGGAGAAAATAAACCCAAAGCTAGTTATTTGAAAAGATCAATAATATCAATAAACTTCTGGCAAGACTTAGAAAAAAAAAAAAAAGAAGACACAAAATACAAGTATTAAGAATGAAAGAGGGGATATCACTACAGACCCTGTAAGGATTGACAGGGTGAAAAAAAAAAAAGACTACTATGAAAAACTGCACATAAATTTAACAACTTAGATGAAATAGAGCAGTTATTTAAAAATTATAAACTACCAAAACTTATGCAAAAATGACTGCCCTGCCCCATCCCTGTTAAGGTCCTGGTTTTGTCCCTTGCTCTTCCAAACCAGCATTCCAGGGCCATGCCCCCTTAGAGGGTTATAAACCATACTATTTTTCATTCAGTTGTTCATTCCTGTGAACCCCTTATGTGTTTGGTACTGTGAAGAATGCAAAGGTGAATAAAACTTTTTATTTTTATTTTTATGTTTTTATTTTAAGAGACAGGGTCTTACTCTATTGCCCAGGCTGGAGTGCAAGTGTCATAATCATAGCTTACTGCAGCCTCGAACTCCTGGGCTCAAGCAATTCTCCCACCTCAGCCTCCAGAGTAGCTAGGACTACAGGCATATGCCACCACACCTGGCTAAATATTTTGTTTTTTTTTTGTAGAGACAGGGTCTTGCTGTGTTGCCAGGCTGGTTTTGAACTTTGGGCCTCAAGCAATTCTCCTACAATGGCTTCCCAAAGCACTGGGATTCTAGACATGAGCAACCATATCTGGCCATACACTGAGTCCTTAATATCTGAGAATTTATGAGGGAAGAGGGAAAAAGACAGCATGGCAAATTAAACCTCCTAATATCCCTTGTAGTAAAAAAGCTTACATAGAGCCAACTAGGTTCATTCTGCTCACACCATTTTTATTTTTAAGAAACATATGACATTCCTTCTCATATCTTTACACAGTTCCAGATATACACACACACACACACACACACACACACACACACACCCTCTGTCATAATGTTTAGTTAGAGGGGTCAGCCCTTGTAGAAGTGTACAGAGAATATTCAGTCATCCACCATGTATTTATTGATTTCCAACTCCCAGGCCTGTACTGGGCCCTCTTCAAAGGGGAAGAATTCACAGATTAGCAGATGACATATGCATGAAATAAATACCACACAGAATGGGGGTATAATGATGGAATTAGTAAATTTGCTATGGGGGCCACTAACTTTTTTGGGGTAGAGGAGGGAACTCAGGAAGTCTTTAAAGAAGAAAAGAAACTTGAGTGAGGTCTTCAAGGATGAGAAGGAGTCCTTCAGGTGGTCAAGGAGTAGGTGAGAATGTCTGGTACAGAAAAAAGTACATAAAAGAGTTACTAAATAGCACAGTTGTCAGTACAGTTAAGTTAGTGTTGGGCGGAGGGACCCAAGAGATGAACCTGGAGAAACAGATCTGGGATTCTTGCTGAGGGACGGGCCTCACTGATCACACAAGGGTTGATTTCCTTATATATTTTCATTTTTAATTGTATTTTTGTTAACTGTATGTCACATGCACAAGGTATAAAATTCAAAAAGTACAAAAGATACATAGAGAATATTAAGTCTCCCCACTTCCCTATCCCCACTGCTCAGGTCCTCTCCCTGAAGGCAGTTACCAAAGCAGGTTCTTTGGGCATCCTTCCAGAGCTATTTTCTTTACATTTGAAAATACGTGTGTGTGTGTCTGTGTATTTTCCACACAAAGGTTGCATATTATACTTTCTATCCTTTACCTTGCTTTTTTATTTGGATGTTTGTTTTATTTATTTGGAATATGGATATACCATAATTCATTGGATCAATCCTGTATTGTTGGAATTTAGGTGATTTCTAGTCTATTGCAATTTAAACAGTGCTGCAGTATATATCCTTGTATATAAGTCCATCTGCACATGAAAGTATACCTGTACGATTAATTCCTAGGAATGGAATTTTTGGGTTAAAGAGTATAAATATTTTTAGTTTTAATAGATAATGCCAAATTGCCGTCTGTAGAGGCTGTGCGATGCCTGTAACCCTGGCCAAGAGAGTACAGCAGTCCCCCTTATCCACAGAAGATACTTTCCCAGATCCCCAGCGGATGCCTGACACTGCAGATAGTACCAAACCCTATATATATTGTGTTTTGTCCTATACATACACACCTATTATGAAGTTTAGTTTATAAATTAGGCACCGTAAGAGATTAACAACAATAATCATAAAATAGAACAACTATAGTAATATGCCAGTATCACTACTCTTGTGCTTTGGGGCCATTTATTAAGTAAAATAATGGTTACTTGCACGCAAGCCCTGAGATACCAGGACAGTTGATCTGGTAACCAAGACAGCTACTTAATGGGTAACGGGCAACCTAGTGTATACCTGGTGGCTATGCTGCACGAAGGGCTGTTTCACATCCCAGGTGGGGTGGCATGAGATTTTATCATGCTGCTCAGAACAGTGCAAAGTTTACAATTTGTTTTTTCTTTTTACTTTGGTTAATCTTTAAAACTCTCCCATGGCAACAATCATAGATTACTATGTCATATAACACCTATGTCTTATATCTCCCCAGGAAAACATACCACCATCGAGTGCCATGGCATCCTAGAGAGAACTTCCATCTTTGCTCACAGCGTTAAGAGCTCTTGGTTTTGCAGCCTCTTTGAAATGACCTATAAAATTTATCAATTGTTTATTTCTGGAATTTTTCATTTAATATTTTCAGACCAAGATTGGCCACAGTTAACTGAAACCACGGAAAGCGAAACCGTGAATAAGAAGGGGCTACTGTGTGATTAAACTTTTTGCTCTTTGAAGCTAGGTCTTTTAGGCTTTATCCTGTCAGTGATGATAAGCCATTGAAAGGTTTTTTAAGAGGGGAGTGTTTCAGTCAGGTTTGTGTTTTGGAAAGGTCATTTGGGCTGCAGTGAGGAAAAGAGTTTAGCAGAGGCAAAGACTAGAGTCATGGATACCAATTAGGAGGCTTTACAGTAGTCCAGGCAAGACAGAATTGTTGGCAGATCCGATTAGGCAGTTGGCAGTGGAGATGAAGGAAATGGATATTGAGATAATGAAGAAGTAGTTTCAATAGAACTGAGGGATTGATCTGGCTGAGAGTGCGTTAGGAGTGAAGGTAGCTTTAATCAAGAAGTTCTAGTTCCGTGAGTCTTGTGAACAGCAACAGTCTTGTATGCACAGTCTGCACCTTCTTTGTAGATTTATAGATCTTATGTCTTTATTAACATTTTCTAATCCTAGAATATCAAAAGATAAAAAAGAGGCTCTAATATATTACTAATTGCTGTTTCTTGGCACCAAGGCAGTTTTGTCTGTTAATATCCGGTTGTCAGAGAAGTTGGAAGAGCATTTTTATTAAGATTCTTCAGTTAGGCCGGGTGCAGTGACTCATGCCTATAATTCCAGCACTTCTGGAGGCCGAGGTGGGTAGATCATTTGAGGCCAGGAGTTCAAGACCAGCCTGGCCAACATAGTGAAACCCCATCTCTACTAAAAAATACAAAAATTAGCTGGGCGTGGTGGCACATGCCTGTAATCCCAGCTACTCGGGAGGCTAAGGCAGGAGAATTGCTTGAACCTGAGAGGTAGAGGTTCCAGTCAGCCAAGATCATGCCAGTGCGCTCCAGCCTGGGTGACAGAGCGAGACTCCGTCTCAAAAGAAAAAAAAAAGATTCTTCAGTCAGCCTGTAGTCCCAGCTATTTGGGAGGCTGAGGTGGGAGGATCACTTGAGCCCAATAGGTTGAGGCTATGATCTTGCCTATAAATAGCCACTGCATGCCAGTCTGGGCAAGATGGCAAGAACCTGTCTCAAAAAAAAAAAAAATCCTTCAGTCAGACTTATTCCTGATATTCGCCAAACTCTAATGTTTCCCACATCGATAACATTCATTCAAAATTCTGAATTTAGGCTGGGTGCAGTAGCTCACACCTATAATCCTAGCTCTTTAGGAGGCTGAGGTGGGAGCATTGCTTGAGGCCAGGAGTTTGAGACTACCCTGGCCAACATGGCAAGACCCCATCTCTAATTTTAAAATATAAAATAAATTTAAAAATTTAAAATTTGAAAAACAGAAAATTCCTAATTTAGTAAAGTAACTTTAAATTCTACACTTAATTTACATATATTTTAATTATGTATATTTAAAAGTCTTTCATTTTGTGATCTTATTCCTTTGATTTTGTGTGTGGTTCTGATATTTAAAAATATTTATATGTTATAATTTCAGTTTTATATAATACCATTAATTATTTCATCTGTTCACTCAGTTTCTACTAATTTTTAATGATGAAAAATGATACAGTGTTTTCACTTCTTCTCTGCATTTTCTTCATTCATCTTTTTTTGAGCCAGAGTTTCACTCTTGTTGCCCAAGCTGGAGTCCACTGGCACGATCTTGGCTCACTGCAACCTCCGCCCCCGGGTTCAAGCGATTCTCTTGCCTCAGCCTCAGAGTAGCTAAGATTACAGATGCGCACCACCACGCCTGGCTAATTTTTTGTATTTTTAGTAGAAATGGGGTTTTACTATGTTAGCCAGAGTGGTCTCAAACTCCTGACCTCAGATGATCTGCCTGCCTCGGCCTCCCAAAGTGCTGAGATTACAGGTTTGAGCCACTGTGCCTGGCCTTCATTCATTTTCTATCTCATATTGGCCTAAAGTTTGATTTCTAAGTGATTATCTTTATTTAGGTAAATATCCTCTATTTCTGTTACTTGGTTTTTCAGCTTTGAGTAATGTCTTTGGTGCCTGGCTCTTACAGGTGACACAGTCAAGGAAGTTTCTTCCCCTTTCCACTTTCGTGCTGGCTGTGTTGTTTCTGTATCGTCAGGGCATAGAACATTGACATTCTGATTTGCCATTCTAAACCCCACTTGATTTTAGTCTTGCTTCTACAGTTATATGTTAATATGCATTAATATATATGTTAATGTAAGTGAAATATGTTCAGTGCTTACCGTCAGCTCTTTTGCTGTTGTTTTCTCAATCATCTTTTGGTTGACTACATTTGTTCCCTGGTGATTTCCTCAAGCAGGGCTTGTGGGAACAATATTCCTTTAGTCTTTGTATGCTAAAACACAATGTTCTCGGCTTAGCAATTTTCCGGAGGTTTCTTCAGGAGTGTAGCTGCCAGCGTTTTCTGAGATCTGCCTCCATTCCATCTCCTCTCCTTGTCTGCTCTGCTCATCTGCCGTGTCTTCGGCCAGTTTCCACCCAGGCCTCCATGACCCTGCAGCTCTTGTTGCACGTGGACTTACGGGTTTATAACCTTGGGGTGACCTTTGTCTACAGTAGCCGTGATTTTGCCGGCGTCTTGAGACCTGCTGAACAGCTCCACTCTCCTCCCGCTGAGCTGTGGCCCTGTTTATTTCCCCATATCACTTTGCTCCTCCTCAGCTTCCCAGTGTCTGCATCTGTTGGCTTTTGGCAGCTGTTATCCTTTTGTTTGTTTTTTGAGACTGTAGGTTTTATTTGCCTCCAGTTTCACTAACAAAGGAGTTTGCTTTGTTTATTTCATGTTTACTTTGTTGGTTTTGATGATATCTTGGAGGAAAAAAGGGAAATCACTGTTGTACGCCACCATGTTTGACAGGAAGTCCTTTAAAAGTAGGTGGCGTTATGGTATAACAACAAAGAGCATGGGATTTGGAGTGAGATACACCCGGCTGCGAATCTGAACTCTGCCACTTACTGACTACCTGACGGTGGACAGATCACATGCCTTCTTGTCATTGTTATCTCTAGAATGGGGCTGATTCTCCTAAGTATTCATACTGTATGAGGAGTAAGTGGGGTAATATCATATACAGGGGCCTAGCATAGTGCTTTGCAAGTAGATGTTCAAAAGGGTAACATTATAATGTTTCATTAATTTCCTGGCATAGATGCCATTCAGAATTACTTTAATCCTCTCTGCTTGGATGGCATCCATTATTATCACTCACTCAATGTTACTGGTGGATGCTGTCACTGAGGCCATTATTGGGACACCCTTTGGCACTCTCTCACTTCACCCATAATTCTATCCAAGGCAATTAGTGCCACAGGAGAAGGACTGCTCTGGGAGCCCTGGGGAGAGGACAGTCTCCTTCATATGGTAGGGGTGAGGGGTGGAATAACCCATGAGCAAGGTCTTTCAGGAAAGGCAGGATTTCTTCAGGAAGAGGTGGAAAGGGCCAGAGCTGGGTCTGGGTGCTAGATATTCCCCAGTCCAGATTCTGAGATCAGAGATTAGGGTGAGTGGGCATGGATGGGGCTTTGGGCATTTGTCACATGTCTTTGCCTCCCAACTTCCAGCAGGCCTGAGAAACCAGGAGGCAAGATTCCCATCAGAGCAGTTGTAGATGAGGTCCGAGGAGACTGGGATGCCAGACTGGAAAGAGATCTGAATGTCCATGTAGTTAAATCCTTGCTTTTGTCCCTCTGTTTTCAGGTCCTGGAATGCCAGACAACCACGGCTCCTACCATGTCGGCCAGCAGCAGCTCTGATGTAGCCTCCATTGGGGTTAGCACTTCCGGAAGTCAAGGTATCATTGAACCCATGGATATGGAAACCCAGGAGGATGGGAGAACATCTGCTAACCAGAGAACTGGAAGCAAGAAGAATGTGCAGGCAGATGGGAAGATACAAGTGGATGGAAGGACCAGGGGAGATGGAACACAGACAGCCCAGAGGACACGTGCAGATAGGAAGACGCAGGTGGATGCTGGGACACAAGAAAGCAAGAGGCCACAGTCAGACAGGAGTGCACAGAAGGGCATGATGACACAGGGAAGGGCAGAGACACAGCTAGAAACAACACAGGCAGGTGAGAAGATACAGGAAGACAGGAAGGCCCAGGCAGATAAGGGCACACAGGAAGACAGAAGGATGCAGGGAGAGAAGGGGATGCAGGGAGAGAAGGGGACGCAGTCAGAGGGGAGCGCGCCCACAGCCATGGAAGGTCAGTCTGAGCAAGAGGTGGCAACCAGCCTCGGCCCACCATCCAGAACCCCCAAACTCCCACCTACAGCGGGTCCTAGAGCTCCTCTGAATATTGAATGTTTTGTACAGACCCCAGAAGGGTCTTGTTTCCCAAAAAAACCTGGTTGCCTGCCCAGATCTGAGGAGGCAGTAGTAACAGCCTCCAGGAACCATGAGCAAACTGTGCTGGGTCCCCTGTCAGGGAACCTCATGCTCCCAGCACAGCCGCCCCATGAGGGGAGTGTGGAGCAGGTGGGAGGAGAGAGATGCCGAGGGCCACAGTCATCAGGCCCAGTCGAGGCCAAGCAGGAGGACAGCCCGTTCCAGTGCCCCAAGGAGGAGCGGCCAGGGGGAGTGCCGTGTATGGATCAGGGTGGCTGTCCTCTAGCTGGCCTGAGCCAGGAGGTACCCACGATGCCTTCTCTTCCTGGAACTGGGCTGACAGCTAGCCCAAAGGCGGGGCCGTGTAGCACCCCGACTTCTCAGCACGGGAGCACAGCCACCTTCCTGCCCTCTGAGGATCAGGTCCTGATGAGTTCTGCCCCAACACTGCACCTGGGGCTGGGGACCCCCACTCAGAGTCACCCACCAGAAACCATGGCCACCAGCAGTGAGGGGGCCTGCGCCCAGGTACCAGATGTGGAGGGGCGGACCCCAGGTCCCCGGAGCTGTGACCCTGGCCTCATAGATTCCCTGAAGAACTACCTGCTTCTGCTGCTGAAGCTGTCCAGCACAGAGACAAGTGGAGCAGGGGGAGAGTCCCAGGTGGGGGCAGCCACCGGAGGTCTGGTGCCCTCAGCCACTCTGACACCCACTGTGGAAGTGGCTGGGCTTAGTCCCCGGACATCGAGGCGCATCCTGGAGCGTGTGGAGAACAACCACCTGGTGCAGAGTGCACAGACCCTGCTGCTGAGCCCCTGTACCTCCCGCCGCCTCACCGGCCTCCTGGACCGTGAGGTGCAGGCTGGCCGCCAGGCCCTTGCTGCTGCCCGAGGCTCCTGGGGTCCTGGTCCCAGCTCCCTCACTGTCCCTGCCATTGTGGTAGACGAGGAGGACCCTGGGCTGGCCTCAGAAGGAGCCAGTGAGGGTGAAGGAGAGGTTTCCCCTGAGGGGCCTGGCCTCCTGGGGGCCTCTCAGGAGAGCAGCATGGCTGGTCGACTGGGGGAGGCGGGTGGGCAGGCAGCCCCTGGACAGGGGCCCTCAGCAGAGAGCATAGCCCAGGAGCCCTCCCAAGAGGAGAAGTTCCCAGGGGAGGCTCTGACAGGTCTCCCGGCAGCTACACCTGAGGAACTGGCTCTAGGGGCCCGGAGGAAGAGATTTCTCCCTAAGGTCAGAGCAGCAGGAGACGGGGAGGCAACCACACCTGAAGAAAGGGAGAGCCCCACGGTTTCCCCCCGGGGGCCCAGGAAAAGCCTGGTGCCTGGGTCCCCAGGGACTCCAGGGCGGGAGAGACGCTCCCCTACGCAGGGCAGAAAGGCGAGCATGCTGGAGGTGCCTCGGGCAGAGGAGGAGCTGGCGGCAGGAGACCTGGGCCCCAGCCCCAAGGCCGGCGGTCTGGACACAGAGGTGGCCCTGGATGAAGGCAAGCAGGAGACACTGGCCAAGCCCAGGAAAGCCAAAGACCTGCTGAAAGGTGAGCAGTGGGGAGGGAGAGGGATGGCTTCACAGGACAGGGCCACAGAAAGCACACTGCTGCTGCTGCTAACAGCACTACCCCATGACAGATAGCATATCCCTCCTCGGGATTCATAAATTACCTTGGTAAAGGTACCCTTCTCTCACAGCCTTTAAGGCCTGGTTCTTGTTTTGATTCTGCCACTCCACAGAGTGGAGATAACAGTACCGCCTTTGCAATGGCATGAGGCTTAAATGGGATGGAATAGATGAAGTGCTTAGCACAGGGCCTGGCTTTAGTAGCGTTCTAGCTCTCCATCATCACCATTCAGTCCCCCTTTACAGAGATGTCGCATGATTACAGAGTGGTGGGGACAGGATTCAAATGCAGGCTTCCAGAGTTAGGGACCTAGAATGCAAACTGAAGTTCCTGTCTCAACTGCTGTCTGCGTCCTCAGCTGGGAGCCCCTCCCAGCCTGGGGTCAAGGTGGAGTAGGGGCTTCTCTCTAGCTGAGATGTGTGCTTTGGGGGTCAGGGCAGAAGCCTGAGATATAGGCAGGAGGCACCGGGGGGCTGTGAGTGGTAGGTCTGTGTGGAGACTTGAATCCTGTTTTCTCCCAGCCTTTTCCACCAAGGACACCCAGGAGAGCAAGGATATGGCCAGAGGAGAGGTGGTGTTCCCCTCTTGACTGGGCCCTGCTCTCAGCCCCACAGGTGATCCGGAAGATTCGGGTGGAGCAGTTTCCTGATGCCTCCGGTAGCCTGAAGCTGTGGTGCCAGTTTTTCAACATTCTTAGTGACTCAGTCTTGACATGGGCCAAGGATCAGCGCCCAGTGGGCGAGGTGGGCAGGAGGTAAGCCAACGACACCACTGCCACCTGACCTGGCTCCCTGATTGCAGTAATACCGTTGGGCACTGTCCTAGTGCTTTGAACCTATCGCCTCATTAATCCTCACAATAACCAGGGGAGGTCCTTTTATTCCCATAGTAGAGATGAGAAAATGGAGGCTCAGCATTCTTTAAGCCACTTGTCCAAAGCCACACAGCTAGTAATTGTCAGGACTGCAAACCAGACCTGTGGGCTTCAGGACCAGCTCTTGGCCCTGGAATCGCGCTGCTTCCCCAAAGCTCTCAGAGCTGGGGTTCACAGCAGCCTCTGAGAGTGGGGTCCAAGGACGCTTAGGACCACAGTCTGCCCCCATGCCATGGCCCTCACGAGTAGGGTCTCCACTCTGCAGCGCAGGGGATGAGGGGCCGGCGGCCTTGGCCATCGTGCAGGCCTCCCCCGTAGACTGCGGTGTGTATCGGTGCACCATCCACAATGAGCACGGCTCGGCCTCCACCGACTTCTGCCTCAGCCCTGAGGGTGAGTGTGCCCCGCGGCCCGGGGTCTCAGCCTGGCCTGGCTCCTGGTGGGTGGGCAGCAGTCATCTTTGAGAGAAGGCACTCTCTTGGCACAGCAGCCTGAAGGCACTGCTTTCTTCTTTTTCTGTATCTAGTGTTGTCAGGATTCATCTCCAGAGAAGAAGGTGAAGGTATGGTTCCCCCCTGGGGAAGGCGGGGTGGTCCTACCCCTGCCATCTGCAGGGAGGACCCTCTTTAAGGGCTTGGAATCTGGTCCCAATCCACATACTGCTCCTCTTTGCCTCTTAGTTTAGGATATGGCTTGGGAGATGATGGAGGAGGACTGCTGTATCAGAAGATTATGGGGGAAGAAGTGACCAAGGGGGCCACTGCACAGGAGTTAGTTCACCCTTGTGCCCTTTGCCCATGTCAGAGTCTTTGATCCAGGGCAGAACCGGCCACCAGGGCATGTCTTATCCTGCCAGCTCCTACCCAGGGTTTCTCACAGTGCTCTGTGGACCCTGGTATTAGATTCACACAGGGAACCTGCTAGAAATGCAGTTTCCTGGTCCCTGCTGCACTGCAGACATCTTTAATGACCTAGGAGGGACCTAGGAATATTGCGTTTTCAGCAGGCCCCCTGGTGATCATGAAATACCTTCAAAGTTTGATACACATTTGAAGGGCTCAAATAGGGATGGGCACGTACTGCTCCTACAAGAGACAGGCTAAGGCTTGGGACTGTGAAGGCAGCCAGTGATAAAAAGATGTTTGGAGCTGTATTTGCTAACAAATGCATTAATTCCTTCATTCTCTCACTCTTTCAATCACTCATTCATCCAACTAGTGACTTTGTTTTGAGATGGAGTCTCACTCTGTTGCCCAGGCTGGAGTGCAGTGGTGTGATCTTGGCTCACTGCAACCTCCGCTTCCTGGGTTCAAGCAATTCTCGTGCCTCAGCCTCCCCAGTACCTGGGATTACAGGCATGCACCACCATGCCCAGCTCGTTTTTGTATTTTTAGTAGAGATGGGTTTCACTATGTTGGCAGGTCTGGTCTCGACCTCCTGACCTCAAGGGATCCACCTGCCTTGGCCTCCCAAAGTGCCAATTAGTGACTTTTGTTTAGTAATCAAATAAAATTTAATCAATATCAAATAAAACCTCAACCTCAAAACTAAGTAATAATTATTTAATATCATCAAACATCCAGTCAGATTTCCCCAACTGTCTCATATGCGTTGGTTTATTTGAATCAGGAACCACTCATTGCTTTTGGCTGATGCAGCTCCCAAGTCTCTCTTAATATTTAACAGTTCCTCCTACTTTATTTGTTTTCTTCCTTTGCCATATGTTTGTTAAAGTCACTGGTATAGAATTTCTAACATTCTGGATTTTGTTGATTGTGTTCCCATTTAACATGTTAAATGCTTCTTCCAAATTGGTAATCAGATTTAGAGGTTTGGTCAGATTCAGGTGTGATTTTTTTTTTTGGAGGAGGGGCAAGAATAACTCACAGGTGCTGTGTATACCTTTTGCATCCTATCTGGAGGCACATACTGTCAGATTGTTTCACTTTTAGTAATGTTAAGGTTGGTCACTGGGTTCATTCAGGTGCATCTGTGTGATCCATCCCCTTTTAAAGTTAAAAACAATCTGATACAAACCCTATTGTTATCTAGGGGTTTTGGCAGTCACTGATTATTGCCTAAATCTATTATTTCATTAGCAGTTGCAACATGGAGATAGTTTAATTTGGTCTTTTCTTCTTCATTCATTAGCTGATTTTTTTCTGTAAAAAAGGGATGATTATTTGGTTATCCCAATACGTTAAGTTCCAACAGGAAATGAAGGATAAATACTTGCTCTTTTCCCTTTAGTTACTAGAATTTAGAATAACGAGTTGGTGCCCTACCCTACCGTTTTCCATAGGTGACCAGTGAGGTTTATTTTTTGAGGGAGGAGATTGGATTCTTTTTTTTGTTGTTGCAACTATGAATACATGGATTTTTAACATATTTGATATGTTCAATATGTTGCAGTAATTATTTTTGTTGCCAAGATTGTTTCCTTTTTGGCCCAAGGGAGCCCCTTCAGGTTGGCCCCTGTGTCCTTCTGCCAAGTCTCTAATAGCTTTTGCTAGCTCTCTTGCTTTCTGGATTCACACGATATTTCAGGTCCTTGCTGTACACTTTCTGCCTAGACCTGGAATCAACCATTTCTTTAGAAAGCTCTGGTTTCCCTTTAATGGGAAATTATATTTAGCGGTCACAATTTGAGCATTAGGGGTGCTCATTGCTGCTGGATTGGTCCTGCAAACTTTTTGTTTCAGTCAAACGTGTTGGTTGAAATGGAGTCATGTATTCATCTGATCAAAACAACGAATTCCAAAACAAAGTAATTCTGGTATTCTGTATTGATTATTGTTGCCACAGAAAACCCCTGCCTTCCACAAACACATCCTGAGCACTGTGTTTGGACAGTGCTTAGGACGCATTTGTGGAAGGCAGGGGTTATGTGATGGATACCACATGGGTACCGCTAGATGGCAGGGGTTGAATCAAATAGAGTTTCTGCCCCAAGGAGCTCATAGTCTGGTGGGGACTTAATGTGCCCAAAGAGCAGGCGTGGACGGAAAGTGAGCCCAGCAGGTTGGCAGGGTGGGAGGCTCTTCTGGCCTTTTCCTTCCCTGTGAGCCCCACATTGGTGAGACAGGAGCTCCTGGTCTCCCACATTTCTCCTGTTCCCCTTCAGTTGGAGAAGAGATTGAGATGACCCCTATGGTGTTTGCTAAGGGTCTGGCTGACTCTGGCTGCTGGGGGGACAAGCTCTTTGGGCGACTGGTAAGCGAGGAGCTCCGAGGGGGTGGATATGGGTGTGGCCTTCGGAAGGCCTCCCAGGCCAAGGTCATCTACGGGCTGGAACCCATCTTCGAGTCGGGCCGCACGTGCATCATCAAGGTGTCCAGCCTGCTTGTGTTTGGGCCCAGCAGTGAGACTTCTCTTGTGGGCAGAAACTACGACGTCACCATCCAGGTACTATGTCCCATCTTCACACCCCATTCTTTTATTCTCTCACCCCCTCCCCTTTCCCAGCCCAGGTCCTGTTAGGATGCCCAGTATCGAGGCAGAAGGCATCTCAGTCTCAACCTTATGAGGCTCCTAGGAGGACCTTGTGGAAAGCCTGAGATGCAGCCCAGAATTCAGATGCTTGGCCTCAGAGAGCTTGAGAGCTTCAAAACGACTTGGGCCATAGTTTTCAAACTCTATGTTTGCAGCAGAAACCTTCCCCCTGCCCCATACATAATCTCTCATGGAAGCCTTGTTTATATGTGAGATAAAAGGGGGGTGCTGTGGGTGGGGTGGGCAGTCTTCCTGGCTCTACACAGAGTGGTCTCTGGGACACTGTCACATACCATAAGGACTCCCAAAAATAGTTCAGAAATCACTTCGAAAACCTCAGTTTGAAAAGAAGTCCAAAGCCGCTTGTTATACAAAAGAGGAAAATGAGATGCAGAGTGGGGAGCAGGGAGGAGTAAGCCCTTCCTCCCCCAGGGCTGGAATCCTCCTCTCAGTCCCCTAACAGAATAGGTAGCCCACTCACTTAGGGGTAGACACAGTGGAGGACTGAGGAATTTCTTTGCTCACCACATTTGGTTCCCTCATCCACAGGGGTGCAAGATCCAGAACATGAGTCGGGAGTACTGCAAAATCTTCGCAGCAGAAGCCCGGGCCGCGCCTGGCTTTGGGGAGGTGCCTGAGTAAGTACGCAGCGAGGAGGACGTGCAGTGTGCAGCACTGTTGCCTTGGGCTTCTGCAAAGACAGTGATTTCACAGCCTCCCAGGGGCATCCTGCGTTATGCCCATGTGCAAATAGGCTCACAGCCCCATGCTCAGCTCAGTGGCCTCACAAAATGTAGAAATAGAGACCTCATTTACTCTCCACTTGAGAAAAGCCTCTGCTCTGGACTTGAGTCCCGCCCACCCCGGTTCCTCATTCTTTAGTGCAGATGTTGCTGATTGCAGAGTTTGGACACAGCAATTTCTGGGACTCCATGAAGGTGATGGGGTGGGTTAAGCTAGGCAGACTGATCAGGACACTTCCGTGGTATGCAGGCAGGGTCAGTGTGGATTTTTGTAGGAGTCAGCTATAAATGGCAATTGTTTGCATTTTGAGACTTGAACTCTGACCTTTGCATACCTGGGGTCCCACTGGCAGAGAGCCACAATCTGGTTGAATCCTCTCTAAAGGTGCTCCTTCTGTTTGACACATACATGCCTCAATCCCTCACCCAAGCCACACAGTCTGCCTATGCCCATAGCAGGGTTTGGTTCTAATCCCACTGACCAAGAGAATGGACAGGACTCTGAAGCCAAAAATATCCATTTCCTTTCCCAAACTCAGGGTGGAGCTGCTTTCCTTTGCTGTCCTTTGGGCTCGGAGCTGAGAATTACATTCTTGGAAGGGCCCTTCTTTTAGGTCCAAGAATACAGAATTGGGTGGGAGGGAGGAGCTCTCTGGGCCATACTTCCTGCTTACTGCAGGGTGAAACTATGTTTAGGATCATCCCACTGTATCTGATCTACCGGCCTGCAAACAATATCCCATATGCTACCCTGGAGGAAGACCTGGGCAAGCCCCTGGAGTCTTACTGTTCTCGGGAATGGGGCTGTGCTGAGGCTCCGACAGCATCTGGCAGCTCTGAGGCCATGCAGAAATGCCAGACCTTCCAACACTGGCTGTATCAGTGGACAAATGGCAGCTTCCTTGTCACAGACTTGGCAGGTACGAGGGTGTGAGGGTGCACGGGTACGCATGTGCATGGATGTGAAAGCATGCAGAGGAGGCAAAGCCATAGTGCTTGGCTGATCGTTTACAAAGCACCTTTGTCTTTATTCTTTTTTGCTTTTCACAATAATCTTGTAAAGTAGATTGGACACGGAACATTTTGCTCGCAACCCTAATACATACCTCATGTAGCCCAGTCTATCACTGCAGCTGCATTTAAAGGAGCACAGTCCAGGCTCAATTAAAAGTAAAAAGGAATTTATTTCAAAGACCATTACATGGGGTCTAATTCAAAACCCACAACCACCCTTTTCAAAAACCTCCCTTCTTCCCTTCCCTGCAGCTTTGCTCTAGACTTTCTCACTCTCCAAGCTTCCCAAACTCTCCCTTCCATTTTAGCCCAGTAGCTTTACTGTCTCTCCTCCTCCTCCATCTTTGTTAGCTTTTCGTTATGTAAAGCAACTTAGTCTAGCTTCTTTTTAGTTTTATTCCTACGCCCCCCATTACCCAGAACTCCCCAACAAAGGAAGGCCAGCAGGCATGAACCCTCCTTCCTTCTTCAACCAGCTCTCTGCAGGCCTACTGTCATTAAGCAGAACTGGACAGAGGAGAGGAACAGAGAAAATGCTCAGGGGAAGGAGAGGTTGCTGGGAATATCACACATCATTAAATCTTGTCTCTGTGGTAAATAAGTGAGAAAACTAGAGACCAGAGATATAAAACGGACTCAAATGTGTGTTTCACTGGGGTTAAATTGTACGATAATTATTATATATATAGCTCCATATACTGGGGGGAGGGCGGGCTAGGTAACATTAAGCCATTATCAGTCAACCTATTTGTTAACTTATAAACTCATGCTTCCATCCTTTTTCCATCCAACCATTACTAAATATTGAAAAAATAAAAAGTTGAATTAGGAATGTCATCGTCCTCAAGAAGCTGTGATGAGTAGACCAGTTTCTACTGTGAGACGATAACGTGGCATAGTAGAAAGGCTTTAAAGTCGGCTGGGCGCGGAGGCTCACGCCTGTAATCCCAGCACTTTGGGAGGCCGAGGCAGGTGGACCACTTGAGGCCAGGAGTTCGAAACCAGCCTGGCCAACACAGCAAAACCCCATCTCTGCTAAAAATACAAAAATTCTGTCTGTAATTCCAGCTATTTGGGAGGGCAGGGCTTGAGAATTGCTTGAACCCGGGAGGCAGAGGTTGCAGTGAGCCAAGATTGCACTACTGCACTCCAGCCTGGGCAACAGAGTGAGACTCCATCTCAAAAAAATAATAAAGAAAAAAATAAATTTGATTTAAGTCAAAGCCCCATTCTCTTCTAGCTGAGTCTGTTTTACAAAGAAGAAAACTGAAGCTCACCCTGGTTAGGTCATTCAATCTCTCTGAGCTTCAGTTTCCTTTCCCTTTCTAGGAATAATGTCTTTCCTACCTAGCACTCAGATTTTTCATGAGGATTAAGTGAGACCATATTTGTGAAAACCTGCTGCAAACTAAAATTCTGTGCAAATGAGAGAGATCATCATTTTTACACAAAATGGAATGCTATGAATGCCAAAAGAGAAATGACAAATAAATCAATATTTATCACATTAGTCCTATGTTTCAGACACTAAGTTAGAGTCCTACACATATTATGATTTTCTCAATACTCTGTAAGATGGTCATTACTATCCTCACCTTTACACTTGAAGATTAGAGATATGAAGTGACTTGTCGAGTACCCACAGCTCAGAAGTGGTAGAGCTGAAATGTAAATCCAGGTCTGTCTGACTCCAGAGGCCACATTTGTTATTGTCTATCATATGATGGTACTCAGCCCTGTTAGTGAAAGGCAGGTTCCTAGCAAAATGCTCTGGACAGATTGAAAATGGGGGAAAGAGCATCCTAAACCTAATGTGTGAATACTAAGATACCTGGGTGGCCTGAGCACAGTGAAAACGTTTTTTCTCTATCATCATTTTGCCTGGCTCTGCCCTTCCAAGGCTTAACCTGGAAGACCATCTTGGCTTCTTGCTTGCTTGCTGCCTTTGTAAGTAGTGCAGAAGCCAGTCTTCTGTAGTGTTGCATTTCTGCTGGTCTACCCCTGATTTATCCTCTCATTCCCATCCCTCTCTTTTGTCTGGACAGACTACTGATCTGTTCAGAGGATGAAGGTTTTAGCTCAAAGCTAGAGGCTGGTCCAGGTTGTGACCTGGTCTGATCCAGTAGAGGCAGGATTGCATAGCTGGAAGAGTTTTGGCTCTAGGAATCCAAAAAAACGGAACCCTTATTTTAAGTCAAATGGCCATTGCACATGGCCAGAGCTCAATTATTGAATGAGTGAGTATGACTTTGCTCAAGCCATTTAACTCTGAGCCTATCCTCCTCACTTGTAAAAATATGAATATTATTCCTAGTAATAATCCAGAGACCTGCATGCTGTGAGACAGGCTGGTGGTGATGACCCATGAGAAGATGCTTGAAGACACACCTGCACTGACACCCAGGAAGTTGATGCCAGCCTGGGCTGGTTCTAAGCCCCCATGTCTCCAGCAGGAAGAGACATGGTTCTAAGCCACCCAGTATATCTTCCTGCTGGAGATGTGGGGGCTTAGAGCCAGCCCAGACTGGCATCAACTCCCAACTTTCTCTCTTTTCAGGGGTTGACTGGAAGATGACTGATGTGCAGATTGCTACCAAACTCCGAGGGTGAGTGGTTCTTGGGGACAGAATGCCCTCTGGGCGTCTTCTCAGGGTGTAAAATGTCCTAAGCCCTTCTGGTTCTCCATCCCTGAGGTGCTGGGCCTGGGGCCAAGTGGTCCCAGACACACCCATGGCCATGTGGTAACATCCTAGGGGCTACTGGTCCCCACCCCTTATCTCTGGCCTGGTGTGGCAGCTATTACTGATGCCACACATGGGGTCCCCTGCAATCCAGAGCTCTCACATACTCCTCCCCTCTCGCTTGAGGATGGTTGCCAAGGTGCCGATGAGTAAGGGTCCTGTGATGAGAGTGCGGACCTCGAGTCTGCTCCAATTTATGTTCAGAAGCTAAGCCATTCTTATGCCATTTAAAGTCCTGCGTGATGGATTCCATGTGTCAGGGTGTAATGAGACCACAGTTTTAAAACTGAGGCCTTGGGCCAGGCATGGTGGCTCACGCCTCTAACCCTAGCACTTTGGGAGGCTGGGGAGGGAGGATTTCTTGAGCCCAGGAGTTTGAGACCAGCCTGGGCCAAGTAGAGAGACTCTGTCTCTATTTTTTTAAAAAGAAAAACTGAGGTTTTGGCTGCTGCCACCTGAGGTAGCACCAAGGGAGAGTCCCCATCACCCTCAGATAAGGTAGGATGTACCCTGAGCACGACATCCTGATGATGGCCACCCCAGAGTCCGCCCCCCAAGGAACTGTGTCTCTGGTTGGGACCCCCACTCAGCTCTTCCTGTCTGGCTGCAGATACCAGGGCCTCAAGGAAAGCTGCTTCCCTGCCCTGCTGGACCGGTTCGCCTCCTCCCACCAGTGCAATGCCTACTGTGAGCTGCTGGGGCTGACACCTCTCAAGGGCCCGGAGGCGGCCCACCCCCAAGCCAAAGCCAAAGGCTCTAAGAGTCCATCTGCTGGCAGGAAAGGCTCCCAGCTGAGTCCTCAGCCCCAGAAGAAAGGCCTCCCTAGTCCTCAGGGCACCCGGAAGAGTGCTCCAAGTTCCAAGGCCACCCCTCAGGCCTCAGAGCCAGTCACCACTCAGTTGTTGGGACAGCCTCCCACCCAAGAGGAGGGCTCCAAGGCCCAGGGCATGCGGTAGCCTCCGCAGAGGCTGGGGGCCTCCACCCAGCAGCAGACCAACCAGGAAGCAGCTTGAACTGGATGGAGACTTTCCAAATATGGAACTAACTGGAGAAGGTGCACGAAGGAGACACCACTTGGGGACCTCTCTGAGCAGGCTCTCGTGAATCAGCTCGTCATCAGATGGCTTTGGTGCATGGCACATAGCCCACTGGCCTCTTCTGGTGCCACTGTCACCCAGGGCTCCCGGGCCTCAAGCAGTCCCCACCTCCAAGTGCCTGGCAACCTAGGCCCTCCTTGAAGTTTACACTTTGCCACTGCTGGAGGCTCCCCTGAGTCCTCTGCATGAGTTCTGCACCCCAAGCCCTTGCCCCAGCCCAGTCCAGCAGCAGATGTTACAATCTGAGTGAGGACATGCAGGCCAACTTTTACCCTCCTGCATTTGCCTGGCCCTGATCTCGCCTGTCCTCAGGGATCCAGACTTCCTCTGCTGGTCTGGCCTGGTGACTCTCAGGGTATCTTCTCCTTCCAGCTACTTTCGCTCACTGATCTCAGCTTATCCTGCAACTAACCATCCTTGAGCCCAGATGGGGCTCAGGGCCCTTCCAGAGCCTGTCATGTCCTTGTGCAGTGGCCTTTGATGTGTGTTCACGCTCTTCCCCCTTCACTCACTCGCCTGCTTCCCATGCTCCCTTGTACCCCCTCGCCACATCCCTGTCTTGGGGCCCAGCTGCAGCCTGCTGCCTGCCCTTCATGGCTCTGCACATGGCCCTTTGCTTGAGGGCTCCCCACTCCCTGCCCACCAATACCCAGGTGAGGAACAGACCCTCTGGCCTCTCACCCCACTTCAGTGCTCTCTTCCCCAACTTCTCTCGGGCTCTTTGCTCATGAGGTGAGAGCTGGTGTGAGGGTTGTGTCAGCAGCTGTAGCCAGAGAGAGGTGTTGACTCTGAGAGACCTTGCACTCCATACTGAAAGGAGGTGGGGTCACAGTGAATTTCACATCCCCTCTCAACCAGGAGTGGAGGGCTAGGTCCCTTCCCCATGGGGAGTACACTTGGGTGTTCTAGGAGGGATGCAGTCTATCCATGCACTTGGGTGGAGGGGAGTCTCTGTGCCTGGGAATTAGGACCCCTGCTCCAACCATCGCTCTTGATCCTGGGGCCCCAGCTCTGGGTCCTCATGTATGGGCTCCCAAGGACCCAGCAGCCTGGATCCTTCCAGAGCATCCCTCCTGGAGGCCTGGGATGGGGTAGGTCTGCAGCTAGCCTACTCCCTTTGGAATGCAATAAAGGCAGCATTGTGTGCCCTGCTTGCCCTCATCTGGTGTGGTTGGAGGTCTGTGGAGTCAAGGTCCCCCTCTCCCAGGCAGGCTCTCTGAGGGCATTCTGTAGTCCCAGGCCCACTGGAAAAATGAATCTATATTTTGGTTCCTGGACCGAAGTTCAGTCGCAGCCTTCTGTGGCCACAGAAAGACAGCTTGTGCTGCTTGCACAACTGAGCTGCTGGTGTGTACCCCTTAGCAGGGTGTCTGGGGACTTACGCCTTTGGAATTGCTCTTCATTCAGAAGAGGAACACAAAGGAAGCCACCCAGGAAGGAAGCACAGAGCTGGGGGCTCTGGAAACGCCCTGTGTCTCTGGCTACAGCAAGACCAGCCCAGGAGCCCACCAGCACCTGCCTCTCAGCTACTTGCTGACCATTTCCTGCTTCTCAAGCTGCAGAGAAGCTTTTCATTCCCACCCCCACCCGGAACCTCCCCTTGCCTAACATTTCCCCTCTATGGTAACATCTCTGACTTCTCTACCTCCTCTGTGCTCAGGTGACTCCACATCTTCTGCCCCAGTGTGTCCCCACCTCTCCCAGCCTGTATACCCAGATTACTTTGGTGAACTGAGAGCTGGAGTACTGTTCATTCATTTATTCATTCACCCACTCATTCAGCAGACATATACTGAGTGCTACTTTATGCCAGACCCTGGGCTGGCAGCTGTTTGGAGGCAAAGATGTATGAGGCCATCTCAGGAGAGACTACTTGTTAGGATTCTTGAGTTTTGACCAACAGAAATGAACTTGGACCAACTTAAGCAAGGAAAAAGCGTTCATGGGAAGGATGCTGGGATAGCTCACAAAACCAAAAGAATAGCTGAACAATTAATTGGCCCTGGGAAGGGTGGGAGCTGGGGCAACTACGAGGCTTGCCTCCCAGGAGCTGCTGCGGTTGGCAGATCAACACCAACTTGCCATTGGTTCTAGTGGGTCCCCTTCCACTCAAGATTCAAATTCCAAGTGAAAGAACCTGGCCTGGAGCTCAGGGCTTCATAGAGTGGGAGGGGGGCAGTCTTCCAAAAGATGCGGACTCTTGCCACATGGAATGGTGGAGTACGGAAGGGTGGAAAGGGTTTGGTAGGTAAACCCTGAAGATGCTTCTAACACACGTGCTGTTCTCCCATCTCACGTATGACGACTCTCCCACAGGTAACCAAAACCACATTTCTCTCTGCTTAGGGAATTCAAGATCATATCTAACTTCGAATTCCAGGGGTAATGACACGGCTTCTATTCTCCAAAGTCCAGTGTCATTAGGGATAATCTCCCTCTTTCAGTTTTATCACAATTCCATTTTGAAATTCTACAACCTGTAGATTAACTGGTAAAATTAACCATATTCAACCAAAATTGTATAACCCAGCAAGAATGGAAGAATGGGTAAAGTCTACAGTCCATTTCTAGAACTGGTCATGAGAACTCATGTTTATGATGATGGACTTTTGATCTGGTGGAGGGACCCAAACCTTCAGTTCTGAAGCTCATTAGTGGTCCTACCTGTGTGACAGGCATTTACTATTGGACTGGCAGTCCCAGGACAAACTCCAGGAATCCCCCCATGTCCATCTCTACTCCTGCCCTCTTTTACGTAGCAGCAATCATATTTTCCCTTGATAGGGTTCATCATTCTAGATACTCCGATGACTTCTTTATAATGAGCCTGAAGTGGCCTGGTGGCTGCCTCAGCTTCCAGTTCAGTTGAATAGCTACTACGTCTTTGAGGATGTGCTCCTTGCTGGGGGACTAAACTCTCCACGCCAGCCCAGTCCCAAACCTAAACCTCGGGTATGAGAAAAGCATTGAGATCTAGCAATAGCAGGGCCATGTCCACACTGCGTCCTATCCCTGAAGGAGAAACAGCGCCAGGTATGGTTGCCGGCTCCAAGCGCATGCTGCCTCCTGCAGGCCTGACCCAGCCTCTCGGGGTGTTGTTTCTGGTGCCATAGTTGAATTTTCAACAAACCATTTCACCACCCTCTCAAGACAGCTGCTGCTGGTTTGTGGGTTCCTGACAAGATGAGTGAATGCCTGCCCATCAACCCGTTACTATTCTTTTAGCTGTAAAGTGAATTCTCTGGTTGGGTGCAGTATGTGAGGAGGTCACATGATGTTTATGGCATTTGAGAATTCCATGGATATTGATGGCAGGAGAGGCATGATGGGTTAGAAAAGCAAATCCAAATCCAGAACAAGGGCCCAAAAGGGCCAAGACAAATTACTGCCCCTCTCAGAGCCACAGGTGTAGACAGGTGAAAACACTGGACAGTGAGTGAGCTACCCACACACGACCCACTGGTGCCTTCAGAGCCTTAGCCTGGAGCGACAGTGTACCGTTGATAATGGAACGCACTGGCCATGCCAGACTTTATGGCTAGGCGGTCAGATAACACTACGAGGGGCAGCATGGCCACCAAGTGTGCCAGGGCCAAGTGTTCAGGCTCTCCCAGAGCCCAGTGGTGAGCCAGAAGGGCATTTTGTACAAGGATAATGGTTACTTTTTGGCCAGAGCATCACTTGGCTCCAAATCCTGGGTTCCCGTATCATATTTTCTTGTCAGGACTTACCGCAAGCTATGTATGGCTCCGCGGTATGCCACCCATGGAAAGACACCTCATGCACCATTGACCTGCCAGGTCACGTGGCCTGATGGCAGCGTCGGCTGCACAAAAGACTTTCCCAGCTGCAATGCCTTCGCCTGCTCTAGGCCCACCCCAAAGCTGGCAGTCTTCTAGGTCAGTTGGTAAATGGGTTAGAACAAGATGCCCCAAAGTGGCATAAATTGCATGGAATTAGGCCTTAGTGGCGAGGGATTCGACATACAGTCATTTGTCCTACATTGTGAAGGAAACATTCTGACCTCAAACAGATCCCTCAACCCCAGAACTTTATAGAAGGGGCAGACCTTGGCATTTTCACATGATTTATCTCCCACTCTGATTCACATATGTTTGACCAAGGCACTGGGCAGCTGCCAATTTCCCGTCCCTTCTGTAGTCCCAGATGAATGGATACAGACCTCTTTGGGGAAGGCTGCAAGGAAGGTTCACAACATGCATCTAAGTGTTAAAATAAGTTTTTCCTTCAAAAATACATTTGACTTCCTCTCCATTTAAGGTCTGGAAATCAAGTGGGAGATCTTGACTTTACCTTGGCACTTGAGACAGAACTGTTGGCCCAGAAGTCTTTAGTTAAGGTCATTACTAGGCCATATCTTAGGGGCGTCTGGCCTTTTTCATTCCTGGGACCCACAGCTCGAGGTCTGGTTTCCATGCCCTATCCCTTACGATGAGCGCCCTATTTTGTTCCTTCTGTCTATCTCTGTTGCTGAGATCAGGGAGCCCACGTTCACAGCAGCTCTTTCAAGCAGCCTCCCAGGCCTAGAGAGGAAAATCAGCAGAGCCTCGTGAATGTATTTCTCGTGGCAAGAAGGGAGCTCATCTTCTGGGTCCTGCCAGAGGGCAGTGAGGGGGTTGATGGGCTGGGTGCATGCCAGGGACCCAATCAAGCATTTTTATCTTCTGAAATCTTTGAATTCCTGCCTTTCTTGGATGTTTGGTCTTTTGATATAATTTAGCATGGGCCAACATTTGGTCCAGATTTGTATTAGCCAAGCCCTCCTAAAATAGTAATAACAGTATCTGGCGATTTGAGCTTTTACGTAGAATGTAGAATCTCTGGTGAGTGAACATATCAATAAAGACAACCTGAACCAAAATTATATCTTGGTCATACAGCCTTTAAAAGGTCCACCACAGACTGCGCAACATAGGGAGACTCCATCTCTACAAAATTAAAAAAAAAAAAATTAACCAGGCGTGGGGGTTCATGCCTGTGGTCTCAGCTATTTAGGGGGCTGAGGTGGGAGGACTGTTTGGGCCAGGAGACGGAGGCTGCAGTGAGCTGAGATCACGCCACTGCACTCCCGCCTGGGCAACACAGTGAGACCCTGTCTCAAAAAACAAAAAAAGTCCACCAATGTACCCTATATTTTTTGACAATATATTTGCCAGTTCATGCAGTTTCTTCAGAATATCACTCTTCTCTTTCCTGATCTGATTAAGACTCTCATCCCCTGGCTTATGCTAAGTGTGGGTTCTGGTTAGTGGTATAACATGTGGTGTGGGGCAGGAGGGAAACTGTTTGCTTTCTTTTATTATTATCATTATACTTTAAGTTCTGGGATACATGTGCACAACGTGCAGGTTTGTTACATAGGTATACATGTGCCATGGTGGTTTGCTGCACCCACCAACCCGTCATCTACATTAGATATTTCTCCTAATGCTCTCCCTCCCCCAGCCCCCCACCCCCTGACGGGCCCCGGTGTGTGATGTTCCCCTCCCTGTGTCCATGTGTTCTCATTGCTCAACTCTCTCTTATGAGTGAGAACACGCGGTGTTTGGTTTTCTGTCCTTGTGATATTTTGCTGAGAATGATGGGGAAAGTGTTTGCTTTCTTCTGCAAGAGAGAGGTACACCTTTCCTGGTAGTGGAGGTAGGAAGGAAATATTTCTGGAGGGTTGTCCTTTTTATGTCCTTTGAATACTCCCAGATGTCATTAATCCAGCTGACAGGATGCCACCTTTTTTTGAAACCGAATGAGGTTATGAATTCGATTGGTGGTGAATCTAGCAGTTTTGCAGAATCAGACTCTGGGTTTGTTTTTAAACAAACTCAATGGCTCCAAGCCATAAGGGAATTTCTACCCAGTAATAGAAAGGTCCTGAATTTCGTTCCATGCCTTGAGGTGGGAGGATTTTAATGATCATCCTCTAGCTTCGTTTTTTGCATGTGTGACAGGGTGTCACCCAGGCTGGAGTGCAGTAGCGCACTCTTGGGCTCACTGCAACCTCTGCCTCTGCGTTCAAGTGATTCTCATGCCTCAGCCTCTGAGTAGCTGGGACTACAGGCATCCACCACCACGCCCTGCTAAATTTTTTTTTGTATTTTTAGTAGAGACAGGGCTTCGCTATGTTGGCCAGGCTGGTCTCAAACTCCTGGCCTCAAATGATCCGCTTGCCTCAGCCTCCCAAAGTCCTGGGATTACAGGCGTGAGCCACTGTGCCCACCCCATCGTCTAGCTTTAAAAAGTATCCAGTGATGTACAAAGGCTGCTACTTTCCCATCCCTGAATAGGAACAGGAGTTTCAATGCTCTTCACCCTATCTTACCTCCATAACCAATTCCAAAAACCCCTCTTATTTCCTGGGAAAAGGAGAGAGTCCATGTCCTTTAACATCTTCCCTATGAATGTCACCATCAGTTACGGTTCTCTGACTGCCAGCAATAAACTGGCTCTAACTTAAGTAAGAACAAAAGGATGCCAGGGTAACCCACTGGTCTGAAAGAAGAATTGAATGACAAGCCTAGGGTACAATGGTAACCAGGGCAGCTCTGAGGACTTTGGCCTGAGGAACTTGCTGACCATCACCCTAAGTGCACCCTTCTCATGACTCAATCCCAACTGCCTTTTGTTACTGTGTGTCTCTACTCAAGAAAGAGAATCTGATTGGCCTGGCTTGAGTTACATGTATCCTTGAGGCCTGGGGCAGCAGGGGTACTGTGGGAAAGAGGGGTGATTTCTGCCCACCCACCACCAACCAAAAAACCAAAAAAAAAAACAAAAACCGGAGGGGGGTGGTAATGTTACCGGGAAAACTGTTAGCACAGAATACGAAGTAAGAGAGTCCTAGCTCATTCCGACCCCAGAGAGCAGCCACTGGAAATGTGAAAGATGGCTCTCAGCACAAGGGTTATCACCATGGAGAGGCCTTCAGGCTGGGACCCAAGAGGCCTTGATGAGTGGCACTAAATTGATAAATTTACCCCAGGGCAGGGTCTGGGTTTTAGTTTTGTAACTTGATACTTCCCATACCCCTGAGTTGATCACTCAGGGAGGCTATCTCATTCTGGTTAAATTTACAGTAAAATGGAACTTAAGCATGAAGAATTCACCTTGCTAATTTTCTTTTTTTTTAAATTATACTTTAAGTTTTACGGTACATGTGCACAACGTGAAGGTTTGTTACATATGTATACGTGTGCCATGTTGGTGTGCTGCACCCATTAACTCGTCATTTAACATTAGATCTCCTAATGCTATCCCTCCCTCCTCCCCCCTCACCTTGCTAATTTTCAGTGAGAGGATCACTTGAGCCCAGGAGTTTGAGACCCTGTCTCTATTTAAAAAATTAAATTTGGCCGGGCACGCTGGCTTATGCCTGTAATCCCAGCACTTTGGGAGGCCGAGGTGGGTGGATCACCTGAGGTCAGCAGTTTGAGAGCAGCCTGGCCAACATGGCAAAACTCCGTCTCTACTAAAAATACAAAAATTAGCAGGCCGTGCTGGCACGCACCTGTAGTCCCAGCTACTCGGGAGGCTGAGGCAGGAGAATCGCTTGAACCTGGGAGGCAGAGGTTGCAGTGAGCCAAGATTGTGCCACTGCACTCCAGCCTGGGCAAGAGAGAGAAACTCTGTCTCAAAAAAAAAAAAATTAAAATTTCTTTTCAATGAGAAATTTAATCATCCAATAGACTGGACACTGTGTTTACCTGATAGTCAATTCTCCTCTTCTTCTGAAGGGAATGGTTCAAGAAAATGCAAATTCTCAGATTTGGTGAGCTTAGGACAAGTCAGACAAGTCTCAGTTCAAATCCTGCTTTGCTGGCTGTGTGAACTTGAGCTTGTTGCTTAACCTCTCTGAACTAAGATACCTCTTTTTTTTTTTTTACAATCCTTTTTTTCTAATATTTATAGACTGCCTATTATATTTGCTGTGTTCATGAGAGTGAACAAAACAGACATAGATTCCTCCCTTATGGAGCTTACAGTCTAGTGGGGGAGACAAACATTTAAAAACACAGCAAAAATGTATTAATGGCAAATATGTAAGTATGAAGTCTTGTGAAGCAGAAGAATAGGAGATAATGCCAGCCGGGGACGGGACCTAATTTAGATGGGCTTAGGAGCCTCTCTGAGGCTTGACATTTTTTTTTTTTTGAGATGGAGTTTCGCTCTTATTGCCCAGGCTGGAGTGCGGTGGTGCGATCTCAGCTCACTACAACCTCCACCTCCCAGATTCAAGTGATTCTCCTGCCTCAACCTCTCAAGTAGCTGAGATTACAGGCGTGTGCCACCATGCCCGGCTAATTTTGTATTTTAAGTAGAGATGTGGTCTCACCATGTTGGCCAAGCTGGTCTCCAACTCCTGACCTCAAGTGATCCACCCGCCTCGGCCTCCCAAAGTGCTGGGATTACAGGCATGAGCCACTGCGCCCGGCCTTCACATTTGAGCTGAGATGGGAGGAAGGATGTTGGTGAGAGGAAGTGGAAGGAGAAGAGCATACCAGGCTGAGGAAACAACTGGTGCAAGAGCTTCCAGCCTGGTTACTGAGAGGCAAGGGATGGAAGCTCGTACCTGGGGAATAAGAGGTGTTGCAAGCCGAGGCTCAGAGGCAGGGCCAGGTCATGGAAGAACATTTGCAAAAATCGTAAGAGCAGTGTGTATCAGCCAGTATCAGCCACAACAGGAAATCACAGAGCCCTGAATGACAGTGATCTTAAATAAGACAAAGTTATTTCTTCCTCAGGATGAAGTCTGTAGGCAGTAGGAGATCTGTACCTGGTCCACCCAGGGCTGGCACGGCAGCTCCAGGATGTCATCGAAACAGGCTCCTCCAGCTCTCTGCTCTGCCCTGCCAGCCGACACAGGAGGAATAATTAATCCCCAGTGGAATATTATGAGGAGAAGAACTGAGAATAGTAATATAAAGCTAAATCTTTGTTATATAGAGAGTCAATAGATAATGTCTAAAGTTGAAAATAAAGGCTGGGTACTATGGCTCATGCCTGCAATCCTAACATTTTGGGAGGTTGAGACAGGAGGATCACTTGAGCCCAGGAGTTTGAGGCCAGCCTGGACAACATAGTGAAACCCTGTCTTTGCAAAAAATAAGTTAGCCAGGTGTGGTGGCGTGTGACTGTAGTTCCAGCTACTTGAGAGGCTGAGGCAGGAGGATCACTTGGGCCCAGGAGATTCAGGCTGCAATGAGCCATAATCACGCCACTGCACTCCAGCCTGGGCAACAGTAAATGAATACATGATAGATAGATAGATAGATAGATAGATAGATAGATAGATAGATAGATAGATAGATAGATAGAAGATAAGTAAATTAATAAAAATAGTACCTATATTGATATTTTAAGATCTATCATCTATGTATCTATTATCTATTTTATGTATAGAAGTTGCTACCAGAGGCCAGGCACAGTGGCTCATGCCTGTAATCCCAGCACTTTGGGAGGTTAAGGCAGGAGGATCACGAGGTCAGGAGTTCGAGACCAGCGTGGCCAGCATGGGGAAACAGTCTCTACCAAAAATACAAAAAATTAGCTGGGTATGGTGGCACGTGCCTGTAGTCCCAGCTACTCGGGAGGCTGAGGCAGGAGAATTGCTTGAACTCAGCAGGCGGAGGTTGCAGTGAGCCAAGATCGCACCACTGCACTCCAGCCTGGGTGACAGAGTGACACTCCGTCTCAAAAAAGAAAAAAAAAAAAAAAAAAGAAGTTGCTACCAGAAGTGGAAAAACAAGAATGACTTGTTTGTAATTGGTGGGATTTGAGGGACAACGGGGTTGGCCTCTGGCTTCCTGGGCTCTGGTCTCCCCAAGCCTGTCTAGTGGTGAGCTTCTGTTCAACTTCCTTTGCTGGTCCATTATTTGGACCTTTCTTAAAATGGAAAGGCCAGCAGAGCGACTCCAACCACCTCCTTCTGCTTCAGGAGCTGCCTTAGTGGATTGGGTCCCTCTCAACCAAGGCAAATCTGAGCTGCGTTGTTAAGTTTCAGTGGCGGATGCAAGATGTCTGGAATTCAGTGGGATGGCAGTGTCTGTCTTGAAGAGGCTCTTGGTGTTTGGGCTGGAGCTACCTCTGGACAGGAGGCGCCCCCTACTGACACCCAGAGGCCCTGGAAACTCACTTCCCATGAGGCACTGTCTGATCTCAGAACTGATGGGGTTCAGAGATGGCCCTTTCTCATTATTTCCAAAGGGCCTCAGGGGACACAGCACACACAAGGGTGAAGGACCCTCAACCTGGAATTTGAGACACATTCCTCATGGTAGAGTTTCAACAGGACATGACCACATGGATTTCTGGGCTGAGGTAGTGTCCAGTCAACCGCTCTGGCCACTGGACTTTTTTTTTTTTTTACGAGATTGAGTTTCGCTTTGTCACCCAGGCTGGAGTGCACTGGCACAATCTCGGCTCACTGCAACCTCCACTTCCAGGGTTCAAGCAACTCTCCTGCCTCAGCCTCCCGAGTACCTGGGATTACAGGCATGTGCCACAATGCCTGGCTAATTATTGTATGTTTAGTAGAGACAGGGTTTCGCCATGTCGGCCAGGCTGGTCTTGAACTCCTAACCTGAAGTGATCCTCCCACCTCAGCCTCCCAAAGTGCTAGGATGACAGGCGTAAGCCACCGTGCTCGGCCTGGCCACTGGCTTTTGAGTGGTTGGAGTAGTTCATCCAGGCCCAGCTTGGGACACTTTCCCGTGGAGTCCAGCCAGCTGACAGTTCTAACCAAATTAAATACTCTGGTTTCACACTAAACTGCCTTGGTTCCACCAAACCCCTGATAAAGATTCTCATCGGAATGAAGCTGTGGACAAAGCCAGGGTCCTCCCTAAGACTCACCCACTTTAAGGCAGGCAGAATGCCTATGGGGGAGAAGCCCTGCCTGGTCATGGGCCCATGCCTGCAGTGGTCCACAGGAGCCTGCACCTGGCTTCCAGCCAACAGAAGCAATCTATTCCTACCTGTAGTGGATGCTGCTGGTGCCCTGCCCAGATGCCCTTTACCGCGGGGAACCCATCCCCCAGGCGCTGTTAGTTGGTAGCAACTCACAGCTGCCCCTTCTCTGAAGCATGCTGGGGTCGCTCAGAGAATAAGAATCAACTGCTCCAAAAACATACATTTTGAAGCATTGTCCTGAGCCAAATGGAAGCCACCTCACCCGGGAGGCAATCCCCACTTCCACTCTTAATCCTTGCCCCCATCCTTGGCCCATGACTAGCACTGCTACGAAAGGCTGTCCTTGCTTCACCTCAAAGTGGAACTAACTCCATGGGAGAGTTTGGGCTCTAGGGTGTCTCTGTGGGATCAGACTAAAGCCAAGCCCCAGCCGAGACCACACTGCTGCTTCTTCCCTTGGCCCTATTCTGCCTCCCTTATCCCCTTCTCCCAAGAACACTCCCCCAATAAATCACTTGAACAGAATCCCCATCTCAGGCTAAGGAATCTGCATAAGATCCATCAGGCATCCTGCTGTGTTGGCTCTCGCTGACAGAGAAATTTCACTGGGACTCTTCTTTTCTTCGCTTTCTTTCTCTTTTTCTTTCCCTCTCTCTCTCTCTTTCTTTCCTTTCTTTCCTCTCTTTCTCTCTCTCTCTCTCTCTCTGTCTTCTTTTTTTCAGGATCTTGCTGTATTGCCCAGGTTGGAGTGCAGTGGTGTTATCATGGCTTACTGCAGCCTCGAACTCCTGGGCTCAAGCAATTCTCCCACCTCAGCCTCCCAAGTAGCCAGGACCACAGGCATGTGCTACCATGCTGGTGGCTCATCTTTTCTTTCCTTTCTTTTTCTTTTCTTTCTTTCTTTCTTTTTTTTTTTTTTTTTTTGGAAATAGAGCCTCGCTCTGTCACCCAGGCTGCAGTACAGTGGCATGATCTTGGTTCACGATAACCTGTGCCTCCTGGGCTCAAGCAATTCTCCTGCCTTAGCCTCCCGAGTAGCTGGGACTACGGGCATGCACCATCATGCCCACCTAATTTTTATATTTTTAGTAGAGACTGGGTTTCACCATGTTGATCAGGCTGGTCTCGAACTCCTGACCTCAAGTGATCTGCCCGCCTCAGCCTCCCAAAGTGCTGGGATTACAGGCGTGAGCCACTGTATGAGGGCTCATCTTTTCTATCATGGCAAAATGTATATCCTTGGAGCAGTTGGATTCTTATTCAGGATATGGGGCTGACTGCCCAGTAAATCAATCCTTGCAGAATTCACACTGGGTCTTACCCAGGAAGTCATTCAGAGACACCATAACCCTGATGACACAGAGTCTGGCCAGAGAACACAGTCCCCAGCAGTAGAGTCCAAGCGGGGGTCCAGAATCCATCCTGCCTGTCAGGCAGCCGATGAGATGGTCACATGGGGCAGACACCTCAAGAGCTAGCTCAGATCTTCCAAATACTAGCACGCAGCGCGGTGGCCCCTGGCTTTACCTCAGGTTGGCCAGCTTCTCAATAGTTGCTCCCTTTCTGGTACTGGCTGCCCCGTCATACTCCCCCATGGAGGACAGGTAGGGGAAACAGTGGCCAATGCCTACCTCACTGGGTTATTGTGAGGGTTCCTTGAGATAGTGCATGTAAGGCTCTTATCACAGAGCCTGGCATCTGCCAAGCTCTTAAGTGTGCCAGCTGGTACCATTGTTGTCACCATCTCCTGGAACTACAGGATCCATCTCAGGGCCCCTCACACACTGCTCTTCCCCTCCAACCTGGGAGCTCCAGTGCCTCTCCGTTTCCTGAGGTTGGGGTGGTTAAAAAAGCTCTCTGCCCAAGCCCCTGAGTACTACCTTTCCAGCTCTCATCCCTGTGGGGACCAGCACTGCCCTGGGGAAGGAGACTGATGGGAACCAACAGGAAATGCTACAGCTGAGGCTCCCGGCCCATGAGCTGGCCAGTATTGAGCTTCTGTGATGGGTCAGGTCTCCACGGCCACAGAACTGAGGGAATTGGACGCAGCCCTTGGAATCAGGAACCTTGCTTCTACAGGTGTAGTGAAATGGAAAGGAGTGTTTCCAAGTGAGTCATGGCGTCTGATTGGCAGGCCCATCCAGGAACAACAGTGAGAGTACCAGTGAGAGTAGAGTGAAAGACACAGCCACGCCTTTGACTCCATGGCAGGACACTAGTGGTGGAATTCCACCTGGGGGGTAGGGGACGAGATATGCTTGGAGAGTTTCAATGTCTGAATATGGGACGTGACATTCACAGGTGTCCGTTTTTGTTCTACCTAACAATTGTATTTAATTTGTGGTGCCCTACTTGTCAGCACTTCTCTATGGACCCTGCTGGTCTTTGGTAGATTTGTTTTCCTGGCTCCTGCCAGGAGGCCTTAAGTCCTCTTCATGATTACTCCTGTAAAAATATCTGGCTTCGCCCTAAGTCTCAGTGAGGGCCACATCAGACCACTTCTATGACAGGGGGAGAAGATGGAACAATCAAGGAATTATTTTTGTCTGTATAGCGAATCGGCTTATCAACTGTGACTTGATCAATAAGGCAATGGAGATCCAAATTAATAGTCTCCACAGCCCCTGCCAATAGCTGGAGGAAGTGTACTTTAGAAGGAAGATATAGCCTTTAGTATAAAACCTATAATAGACAGGGACATCACCCCTGAACCCAATAGCATAACATGAATTAAGACCCTTGGTTTGCAGAACATCTTGATCTGGATCAAACTGAAAAGGAACTATCTCAATTTCTCACTATATGAAAAGCTGATATGAGGCTGGGCACAGTGGCTCACACTTGTAATCCCAGCACTTTGGGAGACCGGGGCAGGAGGATCACTTGAGCCCAGGAGTTCTAGACCTGGGCAACATGGTAAGACCCTGTCTCTACAAAATAGGTAAATAAATAAATATTAGAACAACCAGGATGAAATTTTTTAAAAAAGAAAAAAAAATTAGCTGGCGTATGGTGCACATCTGTAGTCCCAACTACTCTGGAGGCTGAGGTGGGAGGATTGGTGGGAGGTCGAGGCTGTAGTGAGCTGAGATTGCGCCACTGCACGCCAGCCAGGGAGACAGAGTGAGACCCTGTCTCAAAAAAATAAATGAATAAATAAAATGCTAATATGAGCTGGAGAGGCAAGAGGAATAGAAGGTAAAAAGAACAACAAGGGAAATACACTTTTTAAGTACAATCAATTAAATATTAAATATTTGGGAACAGTGAGCTCTGAACTGCTTGGGTAAAATTCGCCCTGCCTGGTGGCCTTAAGCACTCCTGCAGGTGGGACCCGGCATCCTAATTCTACCAGGCCTCTTGTTGCTGCCGTAGATGAGCCCCAGACTCGGCCTTCCATTTTGTATTGGATGATGACCACATGTGCCCAGATGTTCTCAGTGAGTAGAGTGGGTCAAGGAGTAAACTATATCGGAAACCGTTGGATAATCATGCCAAGCAGGCTGGGGGCTTCCAGCCTTTGGGGTACTGGAATGCTTTCTTCCCCTGGGACCAGCTGAACTAGCTCTGTAGTTGCCGGGAGAGCAGTGTGCTCTAACACTTGGGCTAGTCCGTTCCCACAGGAAAACTAGAAGAGTCACAAGCAAAGAGTATAAAAGCCCAAGATATTTCTTTAGTCTTTGTATTTAGCTCTATGTCATCAATTTTTTTTTTTACAGGGTCTCACTCCTGTCGCCCAGGCTGGAGTGCAGTGGTGTGATTATGGTTCACTGCAGCCTTGACTTCCCAGGCTTAAATGATCCTCCCACCTCAGCCTCCTGAGTAGCTGGGATTACAGGTGCACGCCACCACACCTGTCTAATTTTTTCTATTTTTTGTAGAGACAGGGTCTCCCTGTGTTGCCCAGGCTGGTCTTGAAGTCCTGGGCTCAAGCGATCTACCTGCCTTGGCCTCCCAAAGTGCTAGGATTATTGCTACTTTCCAATATTTCTACTACAGACTACGGGAAGTCCATTTTTCAATGCCAAATGCAGAAGAAAAAGTTGTATGGATGCCCTTTCTGCCAATCATCCCAGGTTTAGGAGAGAAGAATGATGAGGTCATGTTCATGGAACTTGACGAGTGATAAGCCTCTTTATTTGTCCAGTGCTTGGATACACGAATCGATGCAATGAAAGAGACCTCGCCTGTGAAGAGCTAAGAAATGAGTGTGGGCAGAATCATGAGAAGAAAATAAAGAGATTGCTGAGCAACTCTTCTGACAGTTCTTGTGCTTTTTGAATGTTTCACTCACTACTTATAAAATAACCTATTATGTCAGAGCCTGGCGAGAAGGGATCCTCTCCAACTCTTTGACTAATAATTCCCTAAAACAGGAGGTGGCCTGCAGAAGAACTAAAACCAGAAAAGTTAGGTGGTTGCCTCTGAGGAATGGGATAGAGTTGGAGGGGTGGAGCAGCCCCTTTACTGTCAACCCTTCTGAGCTCTGCTGGATGGTGAGGGAAATTATCTATGTATATTTATGTGGTCCTCTCCCCACTCTGCCCTGGCCTGGCTCAGCTCTAGGTCTCACTCAGCGGGCGTCTGCGGGTGTGCCGGGCCTCAGAGGCTGTCTCCTTAGGAAACAGGCCACCAAGAAGCCCAAGGACATGCTGAGGTCCCACAGCTGGAGGGGCACAGCCGGGACACCTGAGGTCCTCCAGCTGTTGGTCTTTCCCTGGGGTCTCCACCCCAATCTATCCAGCCTCCCAACTCCCCAGCCTGTGGCTTTTTGCCACATTCCACCTGAAAAGACCGCTTGGCTTCTGGGGTCTGGGATCCCTGCTGGCCATGCCTCCTTGAGAGGAGGAGCAGGGGAGAAGCCCGGAGTCTCCTGGCCTGGAGGAGGGGAGCAGTGTGTCAGGACACCCCGGATGGGACCTGTGACAGCAATGACACCTGCCAGCCTGATGCCGCTTGACTCCCTGCCAGGTACTTCCTAAGCAGGAGCACGCTGACTCCTCATGTGCTCTATTACCCACCACCAGATGAGGCAGCAAGTTAACTTTGGCAGTCAGGAGTGGAGACCTTTGGGCTCCAAGCTCAAGGTCCACCCCAAGACACACAGCCCATTAAATCCTTGTTGTAGAGATTAGGGCCCACAACGATGTGAAGGTTATAAGCTGCACTGCATGGTTGCTGCTGGATGTGTTGTGTTCCTGGCTTCCCTCTGGATGCTGACAGAAACAAGGGTGAGAGAAAAGGACAGTAGGAGAGGAGGGAAGGCGGGACTGAAGAAAGGAGGGGAAGGGGGTAGCACAGGGCAAAGTGGAAAAGCAGGTAGCGTCCTTTTTTTCTTCACTAGGGCTTGGCGAAGACCCCTTCGAGGACAGCTCCAGGCCCATCCCTGTGGTGGCCACCCATGGAGACAGTAGTGCTGCTCAGAGGCATTTAGTTTTTGTTTCTTTTCTGTTTTTGAGGTAGAGTCTCGCTCTGTTGCCGAGGCTGGAGTGCAGTGGTGTGATCTCTGCTCACTGCAGCCTCCACCTCTCGGGTTCAAGCAATTCTCCTGCCTCAGCCTCCCGAGTAGCTGGGACTACAGGCACCTGCCACCATGCCTGGCTAATTTTTGTATTTTTAGTAGAGACGGGGTTTCACCATGTTGGCCAGGCTGGTCTCGAACTCCTGGCTTCAAGTGATCTGCCCACCTTGGCCTCCCAAAGTGCTGGGAGTGCAGGCATGAGCCACCGTGCCCCCCCTCTTTTTTTTTTTTAAAGGTAGAGTCTTGCTCTGTGGCTAGTTTTCAATCAAGGTAACACATGGGCTCTCAACAGTGTGCGGAACTCTGCTAGAAAAATCAAATTATGAGAACACTGTTACTGTGTGATCCCCTATTGGAAAATGAATAACATAAAATAACATACATTTAGGAAAAAAAAAGTGGAGAAAAGGCCAGGCGCGGTGGCTCATGCCTGTAATCCCAGCACTTTGGGAGGCCAAGGTGGGTGGACCACCTGAGGTTGGAAGTTCGAGACCAGCCTGACCAACATGGAGAAACCCCATCTCTACTAAAAATACAAAATTAGCCAGGTGTGGTGGCGCATGCCTGTAATCACAGCTACTTGGGAGGCTGAGGCAGGAGAATCGCTTGAACTTGGGAGGCGGAGGTTGCAGTGAACCGAGCTCGCACCACTGTACTCCAGCCTGGGCAACAAGAGTGAAACTCCGTCTCAAAAAAAAAAAAAAAAAGGAGGAAAATGCCACACAAACTCAATAGTGGTCATCCCTGAGGGCTCAGATTCCGGGGACTTTAACTTCCCTCATTCTGTATATTTCTCTAATGTTTAAATGTTTAATGATACACTTGTAATGCTTTGGTAATTCAAATGACAGATGAAGAAAAAATGTTTTCAAAAAGAGGGGGTGTCCATCCACCATCCTCTCCAAACTTCCAAAACAACCAGGAGGTGCCGGTACTAGCAAGTATTTATGCATCATAGAGGATTTTGTCCTGAGCGCGTACCATTAATTATTAAAGAGATGTTGTGAATCCCGTCAGATGAGTTTAATGTTTAGTGTGAGGACTGGAAAACTAAAGCATTCAGCCCTTCGCTTTGCACACCGTTGGCTTAGGTATTCATTTAACAAAGATGAAATGAAGGGGAAATGGTGTGATTTGGTTTTGTTTTCTTGACAGACCTGAAACACTTTTACTATTTCTCACAGCTACACTGCTTTCCTCATTTTCCAGCACAGGAAAATTGGTTGCTGTTATAATAAATCCCCATCTAGTGAGAAAGGGAGATAGAGAAAGATGCAAAATGAAAGATAAAATGCAAAAAGCTAACAGCCTGGCTGGGGAAAGGAGGCCATGGGAAGGAAGGAGGGGGAGGGAAATAATCACATAGGTGGCTTCCTGGAAGAAGCGGCCCTAATAGGCCTGGAAGAGGTCAGTTTGGGAACTGGGGAGAGGGCAGAGGAGGGCATCTCTGATGGAGAAGCAGCAGCCAGTGGGCAGGAGCTGCAGGGAGCCAGGTTGCAAGTGGGCCTGCTTCCTGTATCCCTGAGACCGTGTTGGGGTCCCCACCCTGGCTGTGGCCCTGGCCTCTGGGGAGGCGCTGGGCAGAACTGGGTGGCAGGCCCAACCTACTCCGACCCTGGACTCTGCCCAGGAATTTCTGCTGAAGTGACAAGGCAAGCCAGAGCCAAAGCAGGTTGGACCCAGCTTGTCCCCACAGAGACGTGTGCTTCCCTCTCTCTCTGAGAGCGACCTGTTAACCGCAAATACGTGAGTAGAAACAGGGCCCCGCTTCTGTGTGCGCTGCTGTGCGTCTGTGTGTGAGCCAGGGCATTCCCAGGCTCTGCCTGTGTGTGTGCACGCACATGCACGGGTCTCTGAGTATGTCAGCCTAACTGGGCTGGCATTTGGATGGAGTAGGGCACCACCCAAGGGGAGAAAAAGGAGCGGGAACAAGAGAAGGGAGAGAGGAGGTGTTAGTTACCACTCTTATTTACAGATGAGCTTAAGCCTACGAACTGAGCTTCAGCAAAAAATGAACTATATTGATTCTTGCAATGGAAAGTCCAGGAGTAGGATTGGTTTCAGGTATAGTTGGATCCAGGAACTGGAATGATGCCTTTAAGGATGTTGCACCTCCATCTTTCAGAGATGGAAAAGTAGAATACACTGAAGATCTCACTTAATGGTAATAGTTTTAACCAGTTGTAGGGAGTGATGAAAGCTAGGTCCTCTCTTCAGAAAAATGCCTGTATCAGATACATATGCAGGCTGTATATAATTCTTTACTTTCCTTCCCTATGAAGTGGGCAGAATTTGCTGTTTCTGCCTGGAACTCCCAGAGTTCACAAGGACTTGCCTCTTACAGGTTCAGATGTGGGTGCAGGCTGGGGTGGTGGCGCACGCCTGTAATCCCAACACTTTGGGAGGCTGAGGTGGGAGGACTGCTTGAGCCCAGGAGTTGGAGGCCAGCCTGTGCAACACAGGGAGACCCAGTCTCTAGAAAAAGGAAGAGGTACCTCCTCCATGTGCTGAGAAGTCAAGGTTGCAGTCCCAGTCACAAGGAGGGGTGAGCTCTGGGATGGCATAGGTGGCCCCCAGGCAGGGCTCTGGCTGTGCCAGGCATCTGCTCCCCCCACTCAGTCCTCTCCCCTTTCCCCGGGCCCCTAAACTGGGCCCTGCCCGGCCTCCCTTTCAGCGTTGGGCGCTCCCTGATTTGTCTTTCAGCTGGAAGGTCTGGGACATGGAGAACGACCCCTCGAGACGAAGAGAGTCCATCTCTCTCACACCTGTGGCCAAGGGTCTGGAGAACATGGGGGCTGATTTCTTGGAAAGCCTGGTCTGTACCCTTCCCCATCAGTCATCCTGACCCCTCAGCCTCTTTGGCTTGAGCCCGGCTGCCGAGGTGATGAGGCTTTTGCTCACCACCTTCCCTCATACCCCATTCTTCTGCCCCCTTCTCACCTCTTTGCTGGCACAGTTATGAACCTCCCAGTGTGTTGGCCTCCTCAACACAAGGCAGACCCCTTTATTTCACTCATTAAACATTGACTGAGCACGTACTGTGTGCACTATAGTCTGAAAGTCCTAGTCTGAAAGGGCAGGGCAGGCCCCAGTGAGGAAGTGACATTAGAGCTGTGACCTACAGAATGAGAATCAAAACCAGATGATGGGGGAGGGGGGTCTCTAAGGAAATCTCAGCCTTCAAGGAGCCTTGTCCTTGCTTTCAAGTGGCCAGGTCAGGTCGAGGCACACCACCCAGAACTCGGAGCCTGGTAGGATACCCTGCACGCTCCCAGGCTCCTCTGACAAAGCCCCCTCCCCTTCACTGCCCTTGTCTCTTGGGGTGCTCCTTTCACGCTGTCATATGCAAGAATACCCACCCCCCACCCAAAACAGCTCCACAGACGGTGGGTGCATGGTGCCCTGAGGTCATGTGATGAGGTAGCCCTGCCTGGGGCCTCCCTTACAGGCCTCCCCTCGGCCCCTCTCAGTCACAGCTGGGCCGCAGGTGTCTGTCCCTGCGCAGACCATGAGCTCGCTGAGGGCAAGATGTGTCTGGCAGAGCCCTGCACACAGTAGGTGCTCAGTGCCTGCCTTGCAGAATCCAGTTTAGTAGCCTTCTAATTCCTCCCTGTGCCCCAGCCCAGTCCCCTCCTCAGCCAGGGTCTCACCGTGGCCCCCGACCCCCAGCTGTAAGTTCCTGGGGGTGGGTAAGGGGCAGGCCGACCTGACGGCTCCCTGCGGGCTGTAGGAGGAAGGCCAGCTCCCTAGGAGTGACTTGAGCCCCGCAGAGATCAGGAGCAGCTGGAGCGAGGCGGCGCCGAAGCCCTTCTCCAGATGGTAGGTGATCTCTGGAGAGACAAGGGCGGGCCTGGGGTGGAGGCTGCTTGGGAACAGGATGGGGAGCCGGGCCTCCTGGCGGATGGGAGTTGGGGGGACGTGAACCTTTGTTGAAGGGAGGAATAAAGGCGCTTTAGCCAACACGCACAGGCACATGAGCCTCGAGGGTGAGCCAAGTCACAGGCTCCCCACCTGCTTTTGAACAGCTGAAACGAAATCCCATCAGGAACCCCAGTATGTACCGTGGGGCCTGCCCTGAACCAGCCAGGCCTCCCTCTCAACCTCCCCCTTCTGCCTTCTACCCCCATTCAGTCTCTGGGGTACCTCGGGGAGTCTGAAGACTCCGGTTAAAAATCCTGAACTGGGCAAGGTCCCTGATTTTACACAGGGAGGTAGAAGCCCAGAGAGGGGAAGGGACCAGCCAGGATGGCATAGGCAGCGAGTGTCTGAGGTGAGCATAGAACTCCACCTCCTGATGCCTGGGCCATCTGGGTCCTTGTTGGCCAGATCCGGAGCTGAGGACACCGTGATGGGCAGGGGGTGGTGGTGGGGGAGGGATTCCGTCTCTCTGCCTGGGCAGGGGATATGGGAAGAATGCCTCCTCCACCCTCTCAGGAGGAGGTGGGAGGTGGGGACTGAGAGGAGGTGAGGCTCCTTAAAATGGCAGCTGGTGGGTGGATTCCAATTAGCATTGAGTGGGCGTCTACTCAATGTGTGTCCCATGGGCAGGTGGATGAACGACAGGGGAGGGGAGGCAGCCATCCATGTTTTTCTTTTCTTTTCTTTTCCTTTTTCTTTTCTTTCCTTCCTTCCTTCTTTCCTTCCTTCCTTCTTTCCTTCCTTCCTTCTTTCCTTCCTTCCTTCCTTCCTTCCTTCCTTCCTTCCTTCCTTCCTTCCTTCCTTCCTTTTCTTTCTCTCTTCCTTCCTTCTTTCTTTTCTTTTTTCTTTCTTTCTCTTTCTTTCTTGCTTGCTTGCTTTCTCTTCCTTCCTTCCTTTCTCTCTTTTTTTTTTTTTAGGCAGGTCTCACTCTGTTGCCTGGGCTGGAGTGCAGTGGCACGAACCCTTCCTGGGCTCAAGAGATTCTCCTGCCTCAGCTTCTTGAGCAGCTGGGATTACAGGCGCACGCCACCATGCCTGGCTAATTTTTGTGTTTTTGGTAGAGAAGGGGTTTGTCATGTTGCCCAGGCTAGTCTTGAACTCCTGGGCTCAAGTGATCCACGCTCCTGGGCCTCCCAAAGTGCTGGGATTACTGGTGTGAGCCACCGCGCCCCCCCACCGGCCACATTTCTGTATGTTGATGAGGTTCTGCCTTTTCAGTGAACTTCCTCCTGAGCCCTGGAGGCAGGGACTATCACTGGGGTAGTGGGGCCTGTGGGTGCTGCCACAGAGGCAGGAAGGCCTGAACCATTTCTACATTTGCCCTGGGCTGGGGTTGCCCTGCAGCCCTGTGGGGATGTCAAGGCAAGCCCTGGCTTGCCCCTGTTGCCACTTTACTGGGGACATACCTGAGTGGAGGTGCTGAGGATCTCCCCCAGATGGGGTCTGCTCATGCACTCATGGACCCTGCTGGTCTTGTTCCCAGGAGGAACCTGCAGCCAGCCCTGAGAGCCAGAAGCTTCTGCAGGGAGCACATGCAGCTGTTTCGATGGATCGGCACAGGCCTGCTCTGCACTGGTGAGCCTGGGGCCCAGCACTACCCAGGACACAATGACTCCTGCCTCAGCTATCCATGTCTCAGGGCAGGGTCATTCACTCACCCAGTCATTCAACAAATGGTTGTTGAGCACCAACTCAGGTCCAGCTCCCTTGCTGGGTACTGAGGCATCTGTTAAGCCAGGCCAGATCTTGTTCCCAAGGCACTCCCTCATCAGTAAGGGAGGCGGAAGAAATAGTCCCACATAATGCAGCATGTCATCTGGGAACACCAAGGAGGAATGGGGGATGATCAGGGAGGACTTCCAGGAGGAGGTGACATTGGAGTCTCACAGGCTAAGTAGGAGTTAGCCAGGTGGAGGTGATAGATACTAAGGAGGGCAAAGGCACTCCACACAGAGGAGTCACAGGAGCAAAGGTGAAAACTGGCAGGGTGTGGGTTTCGATAAAGTTCGACGTCTGCACTGTAAGGTCTGGAGGGTAAAGTTCTAGACAAGGAGTGTCAGGGGATGGGGCTGGAGAGATAGGAAAGGGCCCAGGATGGGGAGTGGGTAGGGATATGGGAGGATGCTCAAGGACTTGGATTTTACCCTCAAGGCCAGAGAGAGCCACTGAAGGTTTTGAACAGGGAAGCGTCAAGGTGGAATTCACACGGTGGGACCCTGGAAGGAGGGCAGGAAAGAGGGGGAGATGGAGACATTGAGGACTGCAATGCCTGTGTGAGAATGAAGCTGTGGAAGGTGGGCGGGGGCAATGGGAGAGGTCCTTGGGAAGCAATGCTAGCTGTACTTGGCAATGACTGGGTGTGCAGCATGAAGGAAACCCTGAATTAGGGCTGCCCCAGGGGCCTGCTCGGGTGATAGGAGGATGATGGTGTCTTCCACAGAGCTAGAGAACATGCGTGCAGAGGGAGTCTTGGCAGGAAGGGGGATAATTAGGATAGTTTGTTGGAGGTACCACTGCCAGGCCATCTGAGGGAGAGAGGAGGCTCCCCAGGCACACTTGGAGAATGAATTGAGAAGTGGGTCAAGGACAGAAGCCTGGAGACCAGCCACACAGAAGGGGTTGGCGGCAGCCAAAGGAGCAAGGGTTTCAAGGAGGGAAAGATCAGCAGCATCTCTGCAAGACCCGCAGGACAAAAACTGAGCCATGTCCACCGATTTAGGGACAAGGAGGCCACTGGTGACTTAGGGTGTAGGTGCAAAAACTGAATTGGAGCGGATGGCAGATGAGGCTGTGCAGACAGCAAGTGTAAATGGCTTTTTGGATCAATTTTTATGAGATCAGGCGGGGAGGCTGAATGGGCAGGGTGTGACCCAGTGTCAAGGATGGGCATGAGTTTGGGGTGGGAGACACTTTGTTTGTACGAGCTGAGGTGGGGAGTTTGTAGAAGGAATATGAAGGAATGGGAGATGAAGAGATGTCCGATGGAGCAAGGTCCCCTGGCACGGAGTAGAAAAGCTCCCCACCCCACCGGGAGGGGTGGGTCTTTGCAGGAGCAAGCTCACCTCATTCTGACAGGTTGGAATTAAAGAGGGGCCAGGCATGGCAGGTGGTTCATGCCTGTAATCCCAGCACTTTGGGAGGATGTAGTGGGAGGCTGTAGTGGGAGGATTGTTTGAGCCCAGGAGTTTGAGACCAGCCTGGGCCACACAGCAAGACCCCACCTCTACAAAAAATTTTAAAAATAAAAATAAATTTTAAAAAAAGAAAAAGGAGGATGGGTACAGATGCAGAGTCATTATAGGTGCTCTGGAGGGGAGGGGCAGTGAGAGAGGCGACAGCAATGACCTGGTCTGCTTGGTGAACTTGAAAGTAGGGTCATCTGCTGAGATGGGGTGGGTCCATGTCCCTCACAGCTTCCTTCTAGAGATGGTGATGTCCACCTTTGGCAGGGTCTGAAGCCAGGGCCATCTCTGTTTCCTTGGCTGCCTCCTTCACTCAGATCTGATTTGTTTCTCTTGAAGAACAATTGAATTCTCTCCAGTAGAGAATGAAAATTACCCCACTCATCCTATTTCCATGTTTGCCATGGCTGTCAGGAATGCAATCTGAATCATTGAATGATCCCTTGCAATGGTCAGCAGTGACTTTCTCTGTTTCTGGGTGACTTTGATTTCTCTGGCTTTTCAATATCTTTATTACATCACCTCTTTCCTGGGGAGGCTGTTCACAGACGTTCTGGGAATAGCTGTGATAGAGAAATGAGGCTCATATTCTCAGGACTTGGCTCCTGAGCTGCGACAGTGGCTTGCTTGCCTTAGGTAGGCCTTCTCCATGGGTGCAGCGACAGCGCTGGCACCATCAGACTAACAAGGATGGCCTTGGTGTCCCCAGTCTTAGAAGAAGGAGGTGCCTCTTGCCCGCTCTCCCAGCCAAAGCCCAGGGAGGTCTTCAAGGAGCTTAGCTCAGGTCCTGCCCGTCCCCAAACCAATCCCTGTGAATGGATCCTAGATGAATAAAATACTTCCAAAAGCACTTCTGTCCTTGTGCCCCTCCTGGAGGACCCCTCCACACTGCCCCCTCTCCCTGAGTCCCCATCCTGGCCTGCCCAGACCCCCCCAGCCTTCCTGGCCCGCCCCGACCACAAAGCACAGGCCCTGAGGCGCACAGACCTTCTTGGCCTCCTAGCCCCATGCCCTCCCTGTGTGAGGCACTCATCTCGGCTGGCCTCAGAGGCCTCCCTCTCCAAGTGGGCATCACTGTAGACCCCACCTTGTAGGGGTCTTGTGAGGATTCATTGTGAAAATGCATCTGAAGTGCCAAGCTCACCTCCTGGCGACCACGGAGCCTCTCCCTGGCCAGGTCCCCCTCCCCTGAACCCCCATGGCCGGTGCCAGCAGCCCCAGCACCGCTCTGTGGGGCTCCACCCGTGTGTCTCAATGACACCCGTTCAGGTAGGAACTCCAGCCCACAAGCTTCCATGTGAGAGAAAGGTCATTTTATTTTTTATAACTCAACTTATCTTCTCCCTCAATGTTATCATTCCAGTGAGTGACGGGAACTCAATTTCTGTCCATTTGGAACCTCCCTTCATCCCTTCCTCTGGGGGTCACCGGGGGGGCTTATCTATCATTACTCCTCAAGTGTCTCCTGACCTGTCCACTTCTCCAGCTGGTCCTGGGTCCTCTATCCTTGCAGGTGGCCATGGCGACCCCCTCTTCTCCATGGTGGGCTCATTCTGGTCTCCCGCCTCTCTTCTCTTCAGGCCTCTCGTGGAGACTAGTTCCGCTGTTTTGGTGCCTGCAGAGCCTCACTGGCTTTCTAGGGCCCTGCTTGCCACGCACCACACGGGCATTCCTCTCTCTGCAGTCCTGGGACCTCCCTGGGACTCGACCAGGAAGCCAGTCACAGGGCTTCACTGCTTGCAATGCTGCAAACACACCTGGCTTGGCGGCCTTGCCAGGCTCAGGCGCTTTCTCTGTGATACCAGTGTCCTTGTTATTGCCTGTACCAGAGGGGTTGGGTAGAACTTACCTTTATTCGTGATGTTTCAGATCACATTTTTTATCCATGGCTATGAGTCCTTTCCATTCTTCGAAGATCCTGGATTCTGAAATTCAAAAGCCAGGGAGAGGCCGGGCGCGGTGGCTTACGCTTGTAATCGCAGCACTTTGGGAGGCTGAGGTGGGCGGATCACTTGAGCCCAGGAGTTCAACACCAGCCTGAGCAATATGGCGAAACCCTGTCTCTACCAAAAATACAAAAATTAGCCAGCCATGGCGGTGGGCAACTGTAATCCCAGCTACTCGGGAGGCTGAGGCAGAAGGGTTGCTTGGACCCAGGAGGCAGAGTTTGCAGTCAGCCGAGATCATGCCACTGTACTCCAGCCTGGGCAACAAAGTGAGACCCTATCTCCAAAAAAAAAAAAAAAAATCTAGGGAGAGACATCTCCCCCTCTGCTATCCATTCTTATGTGTCTTTCCTGATGGACTGGCTGAGTGGCTCAAAGAAGAGAAGGGCAAAAGGGGAAAGGAAACTCCAGGAAGCATGCTCATTGATGAACATTTCAGAACGCAGTCCGAGCACACATGTGTAAACTCCTTCACGGAGTAGCTGATGGGCTCGTCTCCTTCCTCCGTGGGGCCTAGCATGGCGCTGGACCACAGCAGATGCTCCACTGATGCCCAGCGCCTCTTGCTGTTTGGCTTCACGGCCTCCTTACACATCTCCCTCACATTTGGTAAGCACTTTACAGTTTGCAAGGCCCTTTCACAACACTTTCTGCCAGTACCTCCTAACTACTTTTTGGCACAGTAGCGGTGGTTGTTTTCATTTCCAGATGAGGAAACAGGCTCAGTGAGGTTGGGTGACTTTCCTGCCCTCCACGCTCTGGGTGGAGTAAGGTGGAGTCCGCGGGCGGGGCTGCAGGGTTCTGAAGAGGTGGTGTCCTGGCTGTTGACCCCTCCTCTGTCTCATCCCCCAGGGCTCTCTGCCTTCCTGCTGGTGGCCTGCCTCCTGGATTTCCAGAGGGCCCTGGCTCTGTTTGTCCTCACCTGTGTGGTCCTCACCTTCCTGGGCCACCGCCTGCTGAAACGGCTTCTGGGGCCAAAGCTGAGGAGGTTTCTCAAGCCTCAGGGCCATCCCCGCCTGCTGCTCTGGTTTAAGAGGTGAGTGAGCTCACAGCCCCGAGGCAGGGCAGGGGAGGGCCCATGAGCTGAGGGGTTGGCTCCAGGGTTATGGCCAGGGCTGGAGGAGGAGGAAGGCTCTGTGTCATGGAGAACTCTCTGGCGCCCCAGGGCAGGAGCCAGTGGGTGGCTTCAAACAAAGCAGCATCTTTGTGGTGTTTCACCAGTTCTTAGTCCCAGTTACAGCAGGTGACTGTGGTGGACGAAAACTGGACTCAACAGTTTCCTCCATTCAGGGATCCCAGGCCATGGAGCAAGGAGGGCCCGAATCAGTACCTCCCTCAGATCACCTGGACAGTGTGAGACAAAAAGCCGCAGGGACCATCCCTGGAGGGGGATTCAGCAGGCTCGATCGGGGTCCAGGTGCTGGTATTTTTCATTAGCCTCCAGGGGATTCTGATGTAGCCAGCAGCGTCCTTGGACAACAGTTTGAGATCTGCTGCTTTTCAAACTGGATTCCTTGGAGCGCTGGAAATCTCAGCGATGTCACAGGGCAGGAGAGGGAGGTTGTGGAGGGAAAATTCAGACTTCCCGCCCAGCCCACCATTTCACCAGGCAGCTCTAAATTTATGTGTTTTATAAGCCAAGGTTCACACAAAAAAGAAAATTCGCTGGGGGAAAAAAACAGTTTCTATGGCTTAAAAAAAAGTCTGAAGACCACCAGTCTATTTCAATACTCTATTTTGTTGATGAAGAAGCTGGTGACCAAAGATACCCAAAGACTAAGTCAGGGGGATGCAGGGGTACAGGGGTGCCTCTCACTTTCCCAAAGTGAGATCCACATACCACAGCAAAATGATTTGAGCCAGCCTGTGGATGAACACATTTAAAATTTTATTTATAAATACATTTACTGTTACATTTGACTTCTCTTTATTAAATACATTTGTGATTTATTTTTGCAATGGTCTTCTGTGACAAGTCATTGATAATGGTTTTCCGCTTGAGGGACTGATAGGAAGTTTCCTTTAAAAAATGCATGCAGATAAACTGGACTTCATAAAAGCTAAAAACTTTCTGATGCAACACACACTATCAAAAAAGTGAAAAGACAACTCACGGAATGAGAGAAAAGATGTACAAATCATATGTCTGCATAAAGAAACTGTATGCAGAATTACAACTCAACCATAAAAAGACAACCCATTTGATGAATGATAAAAGGTTTTGCTTTAGCCAAAAAGCTCATGCAAATGTGCTCAACATCAGTAGCCATCATGGAAATGCAAAGCAAAGCCACAATAAGATACCACTTCATATTCAGTCAGATGGCCATAATCAATAAGACAGATGATAACAAGTGATGGCAAAGATATGGAGAAATTGAAACCCTTAGACACTGCTGGTGGAAATGCGAAACAGTGCAGTTGCTTTAGAAAATGGTTAGGCTGGCCGGGCACGGTGGCTCATGCCCGTAATCCCAGCACTTTGGGAGGCCGAGGTGGGTGGATCATGAGGTCAGGAGTTTGAGACCAGCCTGGCCAACATGGCGAAACCCTGTCTCTACTAAAAATACAAAAATTAGCCAGGCATGGTGTTGGGCGCCTGTAATCCCAGCTACTCTGTAGTGAAAACTACCCATATGTCTATAAACTGAAAAATGGATAAAGAAAATCTATATATCCATACAATAGAATATTATTCAGTCATGAAAAGGAATGTAGTATTGATAAATACTGCAATAATGATAAACCTTGGGAACATCATGCTCAGTGAAAGAAACCAGTCTTAAAGAACCATATACGGCATGATTCCATTTATATGAAATGTCCAGAATGGGCAAATCTGTGGAGACAGAGAGTTGATTAGTGACTGCTAGGGCGGATGGGAAGAGGAGGTGGTGACCACCAGTGGTTTGGGGTTTCTCTTTGGGCTGATGAAAATATCCTAGGATTATGGTAATGGTTGCACAAATCTGTAACTATACTAAAAACCATTAAACCATACACTTTTGGCCAGGCACGGTGGCTCACGCCTGTAATCCCAGCACTTTGGGAGGCTGAGGTGGGTGGATCATGAGGTCAGGAGATGGAGACCATCCTGGCTAACACGGTGAAACCCTGTCTCTACTAAAAATAGCAAAAAAAAAAAAAAAATGGCTGAGTGTGGTGGTACGCGCCTGTAATTGCAGCTACTCAGGAGGCAGAGGCAAGAGAATCACTTGAACCCGGGAGGCAGAGGTTGCAGTGAGCCAACATTGCACCACTGCACTCCAGCCTGGGTGACAGAGCGAGACTCCGTCTCAGAAAAAAAAAATCCAAACCAAACAAACAAACAAACAAAAATACACTTTTAAAAATTGCTGCATAGTATTATTAGATTGGTGCAGAAGTAATTGTGGTTTTGCCATTATGCAAAAAATTTTGCACCAGCCTAATAAATGTGCATAGTTTCAGGGTATATGTGATAATTTAATACATTCATATAATTTGTAAAGATCAAATCAGTGTACTTGGGATATCCATCAACTTAAATATTTGTCTTTCTTTATGTTAGAACTATTCAAATTCTCCTAGCTATTTTGAAATATGCAATACATTATTGTACACTGTAGCCACCTTACTGATCTATCTGTCACTAGGTCTTATTTCTTCTCTCAAACTGTATATTTGTACCCATTAATCAACTACTCGTCATCCCGCCTCCCTCCTCCCCTTCAGAGTCTCTGGTAACCACCAAACTACTGTCTATCTTCATAAGATGTACTTTTTAAGCTCCCACACATGAGTGGGAACACACAGTATTTGTCTTTCTGTGCTTGGCTTATTTCACTTAACATAATGACCTCCAATTCCATCCATGTTGCTGCAAATAACAGGATTTCATTGTTTTTTTATGGCTGAATAATATTCCATTGTGTATATACACCACATTTTCTTTATCCATTCATCTGTTGATGAGCACCTAGGTTGATTCCATAGTTTGGCTATTGGGAATCATGCTGCAATAAACATGGAGTGCAGGTGTCTTTTCAATATATTGATTTCCTTTTTTTTTTTTTCATATATACCCAGTAGTGGAATTACCGAATCATATGGTAGTCCTATTTTTAGTTTTGTGAGGAACTTCTATCCTTGAACCATGCACTGTAAATGGGCAAATTGTATGACATGTAAATTTTGTCTCAATAAAGCTGTTAGAAGATGCATGCATTTGGTCGGGTGCGGTGGCTCACGCCTGTAATCCCAACACTTTGGGAGGGCGAGGTGGGTAGATCACGAGGTCAGGAGATCCTGACCATCCTGGCTAACATGGTGAAACCACATCTCTACTAAAAATACAAAAAAATTAGCCAGGCGTGGTGGCGGGCGCCTGTAGTCCCAGCTACTCAGGAAGCTGAGGCAGGAGAATGGTGTGAACCCAGGAGGCAGAGCTTGCAGTGAGCTGAGATCTCGCCACTGCACTCCAGCCTGGGCGACAGAGCAAGACTCCATCACCAAAAAAAAAAAAAAAATACATGCATTTGATTTTGGCTCCCAGTTAAGATGTGGTAACAGAGACCAGGTTTATCCTCCCAGTTGAAACAGCTAAAAAACTGGAATGAATACATGAGACAAGAGCTCTTAGATGTTGGACATCAGGCAATAAAGGACACTGATCCTTGAGGATTAGGAAACAAATGAGTTTAGCCCTACGGTCTCCCCAGCTGACTGCCTGGAGAGCGTTTCCAGACCACAGCACAGGGAAGGAAAACTGAGGTGGGACCAGGAGATTCCCTAAGTTGAAGAGACAGAGCTGGAAATCCAGGGAAGCCATGGCAGGCAGGGTTCACGTTGCAGAGCACAGAGACACAGTTGAGAGATCACAGAGCAAAGCCCAGAGGTATGCAGAGAATCCTTGAACATGCAGTTGAGTTCTGCTCAGAGAATACAGACAAGGAAACTACCCTAGGGCTAGGAAAGAACCACCCAAAAGGAGAAGAGGGAATCATACCTGGAATCACACAGGGCCAGGAATAGTGTCTATTCCTGACAGGTGAATAAACCTCAGAATTCACAGGGCATTGTTTAGCGTACTAAGAAGGTTTTGGCTCAGTAGCAGAGAAAAAAAAAATCAACTCTAGAATAAATGCTTCTCAGGCCCTGCCTAACACATCTTAAAGACAAAACCTGAAAAAATTCAAACAGAGCATCAGTTAACCACGGCACAACTTCAGTGGCAAATATACACAATTGAAGTCTCCAGAGGAGAAGGAGGGCAGAAAAAAAATATTTGACGAAATTATGTCCAAAAAAAAAATCCAAATAGGATGACAATTGGACACCCAAAGATTAAAGAAATTTCATGAACCCCCAGCACAAGAAACATGAAGACTATACCAAGGCAATAATCAAATTACTTAAAATCAGTGATAAAACCTTAACAGCAACTAGAGAAAAAAGACGTGCAGAGGAGCAGAAATGGATTACTAGCAGATTTCTTGTCAAAAATGAGTGAGAAAATAATGGAACAGTAAACAATAGCAAATACCCAAAAGGCTGTCAACCTAGAATTCTTTACCAGTGAAATGTATTTCAAAAAAGAAGAGGAAATAAGAACTCTTTCAGTCATACAAAAGCTGAAATAATTTTTCAGACATAAAAAGCAGATTTACGCTACAAGAAATGCTAAAGGAGTGGCTCACACCTGTAGTCCCAGCTGCTTGGGAAGCTGAGAAAGGAGGATCGCTTCAGCTTGGGAGACATAGGCTGCAGTGAGCCATGATCGCGCCACTGACTGCTGCCTGGGCGATAGAGGGAGATACTAAGGCAGAAAGAAAGAAAGAAAGAGAAAGAGGGAAAGAGGGAAAGAAAGAAAGAAAGGAAGGAAGGAAGGAAGGAAGGAAAGAAGGAAGGAAGGAAGGAAGGAAAAGAAAAAGGCAGGCAGGCAGGCAGGCAGGCAAGCAAGCCTGCCGGCCAGGTGTGGTAGCTCGTGTCTATAATCCCAGCAATTTGGGAGGCCGAGTTGGACAGATCACTTAAGCCCAGGAGTTCAAGACCAGCCTGAGCAATATGGTGAAACCCTGTCTCTAATAAAAATATATATATAAAAAAATTAGCCAGGCATGGTGGCATGCGCCTGTAGTATCAGCTATTACACTTGGGTGGCTGAGGGACAAGAATTGCTTGAACCTGGGAGGTGGAGGTTGCAGTGAGCCGAGATCACGCCACTGCACTCCAGCCTGGGAGACAGAGTGAGACACTGTCTCAAAAAAAAGGAAAAAAGGAAGAAAGAAATGCCACTGCACTTCAGCCTGGGAGACAGAGTGAGACACTGTCTCAAAAAAAAAAAAAAAAAAAAAAAGAAGAAGAAGAAAGAAAGAAATGTTAAAGGAAATTCTTCGAAGAGAAGGAAAATGCTACTAGACAGAAACCTGGTTCTACAAAAAGAAATGGGGTCAGGCGCAGTGGCTAATCCCTGTAATTTCAGCACTTTGTGAGGCTGAGCTAGGAGGACTGCTTAAGCCCAGGAGTTTGAGACCAGCCCGAGTAACATCATAAGACCCCATCTCTACAAAAAAATAGATAAATAAATTAGCCAGGTATGGTGGTGTGCACCTGTGATCCCAGTTACTTGAGAGGCTAAGGTAGGAGGATCACCTGAGCACAGAAGGTCGAGACTGCAGTGAGCTATGCACAATATGCCTATATGTCACTGCACTCCAGCCTGGGCAACAAAGCAGACCCTGCCTCAAAAAAGACAGACAGAAAGGGAAGGGGAAGGGGAAAGGGAAGGGGAAGGGTGAAAGGCAAGGAAGGAAGGAAGGAAGGAAGGAAGGAAGGAAGGAAGGAAGTTAGTTGATTAAAATTTAATTAACTTAGGCCAGGTGTGGTGGCTCACGCCTGTAATCCCAGCACTTTGGGAGGCTGAGGCAGGCAGATCACGAGGTCAAGAGATTGGGACCAGCCTGACCAACAGAGTGAAACCCTGTCTCTACTAAAAATACAAAAATTAGCTGGGCGTAGTGGCGCACACCTGTAGTCCCAGCTACTCAGGAGGCTGAGGCAGAAGAATCGCTTGAACGTGGGAGGCAGAGCCACGGTGCCTGGCCTTGTCATAAATCTTTAATAAGAAAAATAACCTAATTTTAAAATGAGCTCAAGGCCAAGAGCAGTGGCTCACGCCTATAACCCCAGCACTTTGGGAGGCCAAGGGTGGGTGGATCCCCTGAGGTCAGGAGTTCAAAACCAGCCTGGCCAATATGGTGAAACCCCATCTCTACTAAAAATACAAAAATTAGCCAGATATGGTGACGGGCACCTGTAGTCCCAGCCACTTGGGAGACTGAGGCAGGAGAATTGCTCGAACCCAGGAGGTGGAAGTTGTAGTGAGCCAGGATCTTGTGCCTCTGCACTCCAGCCTGTGTGACAGAGCGATACTCCATCTCAAAAAAACAAAAAACAAACAAACAAACAAAAAACAAAAAAAGGCTCAAGATATGAACAGACATTTAAAGAAGATGCCTAAGTGGCAAATAAGTACATGGTAAGATGCTCAACATCATTTATCAGTAGAGAAATGCAAGTTAAAAGCAGAAAGAGATATTACCATATGCTGATTAGAATGGGTAGAATTCAGAAGACTAACCATATCAAGTGTTGGCAAGGATATAGAGGAACTGAAATTTTTATATACTGCTGGTGGGAATATAAAATTGCACAATTGCTGTAGAAAACAGATTGGCACTTTCCAGGCCTATCATGTAATCTACCTATTTCACTTATAGGCATTTACCCAAGAGAAATAAAAGCATATATCCACACAAAGACTTGCACATGAAGTTTTGAATGTTCATAGCGGCTTTATCTGCAATAGCCGAAAACTGGAAATCACCAAAATGTCCATCAATAGGTGAACTGATAAGCAAAGTGTGGTATATCCATATAATGGAATACTACTCAGCAATAAGATGAAACAGACTAGTGAATCATGCAGAAACCTAGATAAATCTCAAAATAATTACACTAAGTGAAAGAAGTCAAACAAAAAAGGACACGTACTGTATGGTTCTATTTATATAAACTTCTTTCTTTTCTTTTTTAAAAATTTATATAAAATTCTTAAAAATGCAAAGTAGGCAGGGTGCGGTGGCTCACACCTATAATCCCAGCACTTTGGGAGGCTGAGGCGGGCAGATCACTTGAGGTCAGAAATTCAAGACCAGCCTGGCCAACATGGTGAAATCCCATCTCTTCTAAAAATACAAAAATTAGCTGGGCATGGGGGTGCATCCCTGTAGTCCCAGCTACTTGGGAAGCTGAGGCAGGAAAAGCGCTTAAACCCCGGAGGTGGAGGTTGCAGTGAGCCGAGATCGTGCCACTGCACTGCAGCTTGAGCAATGGAATGAGACTTTGTCTCAAAAAAAAAAAAATGCAGACTAATCTAGTGGCAGAAAACATATCAACTGTTACCTGGGAACGGGGAGGGAGGCAAGGATTACTAAAGGTGTGATGGATACGTTCACTCTCTTGATTGCGGTGATGGTTTCAAGGAGTATACGTATGCCAAAACGTATCAAATTGAACACCTCCAATATGTGCAATTGATTATATATCAACCATACCTCTAATAAAGCTGTTAAAAATAAAAAATCTGAGACAAGCATTTAAGTTTTTTTTTTTTTTTTGAGATGGCGTCTTGCTCTGTCACCCAGGCTGGAGTGCCGTAGTGCGATCTTGGCTCACTGCAACCTCTGCCTCCCAGATTCAAGTGATTCTCCTGCCTCAGCCTCCCAAGTAGCTGGGACTACAGGCACCCACTGCCACGCTCGGCTAATTTTTGAATTTTTAGTAGAGATGGGGTTTCACCATGGTGGCCAGGCTGGTCTCGAATGCCTGACCTCAGGTGATCCACCCACCTTGGCCTCCTAAAGTACTGGGATTACAGGCATGAGCCACTGCGCCCAGCCACATTTGAGTTCTTATAAAGTCAGTTAACCTCAAGAGAAATAGTAAGTAAAGAGAGGTACAGTTGGCACAAAAACAAGGCAAAGATTGTGCATGTTGAACTGGAATGAGAAGAGTTTAAAAATATGAGCAGAAAGAAAAGCAGTAGGCTCTGGAATTAGCCTGCTTGAGTTCAGCTCTTCGATCTCCTGCTTATCAGCTAGGACCGGCCTGGATAAAACTGTAGTTAAGTGAATAGACCTTGCTTCCAGAGTGCCTGGGTTGAAATCTCAGCTCTGCCACTTTCTAGATGAGTGGCCTTGGGCCAGTTATTTAACCTCTCTGTGCCTCAGTTTCCTCATCTCTATCAAAAGAACATGTCTCTCGCATCGGTATAGTACCTGGCATATAATAGGTGCTCAATGAACGTTAACTGTCATTAGTAGTACCCAGTGAATTGATGACCGGATTGGGGTGAGATCTTGAGTACCTGATGCCAAAACCTGAATTCTCCCACCCTTCAGGGTGCATCCTGGACAAACAAATCCCAGCCCCAGGGAGGGAAGTGTTGCTGTTAAGGTAGGATCCGTTCCTTGGTCTCAGGTGCTCAGCTTGGAGGTCCAAACTCACATCACATGCTTCTAGGCATTTTGCAGTCATGGCTGGTAGTGTTGAGTCCTGGGTGGCACAGGTCCTTTCTCCCCCAAGGTCAGAGGCTGAGCTGAGCATCACTGCAGCGGTGAGATTCCTGTAGCTGGATGGAGCCAGGTGCTTGTCACTATGCTCAGCTTGGTACATATATCCCCTTATATAATCCTCTCAACAACCTTGAGAAATGAGGGGTCTCTGGCTTCATTTGACCCATGAGGAAACTAGACTCAGAGAGGCAAGGTGATCTGCCTGAGGTCACACAGCGAGGTCAGCCCTTCCCAGCATGTGGTTCCAGAGCTGGTGCTCTTTCCACTCTGCTGTGCTGTTTCTCCTCCTCCCAGCCCTGAGCACCCTTTCTCTGGGTCCCCGGGTGCTATTGTGTGTGGGTGGGGTGGGGGTGCAATGCTGAGGGTAATGGCTTTCTGTCTCTTGCCTGCAGGGGTCTAGCTCTTGCTGCTTTCCTGGGCCTGGTCCTGTGGCTGTCTCTGGACACCTCCCAGCGGCCTGAGCAACTGGTGTCCTTCGCAGGAATCTGCGTGTTCGTCGCTCTCCTCTTTGCCTGCTCAAAGCATCATTGCGCAGTGAGTGCTAGTTGTGGGGCCCAGGGCTGGAAGTGTTTGCCTCTCTCTTCTGCCCCTAGGCTGGATCTGGGAGCTGGGGTATAGGCAGATGTTCCTGTTGGGAGAGCCCTGGAGGCTCAGGGCCTGGAGAAGGCCTGTGTGTATCAGGATAGGCTTCCTGTGAAGAAGAAGTCTTCAAAATCCCCAGCAGGGATGTCTTTCCAGACTCAGAGGCCACCAGGACATTTGTTTCCTTGGTGACATGTCCTCTGGTCAGTCTAATCCTGGTCTTCAGGTCTGTAGGCTCAGGAACCACCTCCACCCCCAACCACAGAAAACACAGGCCAGAACTCCAGCCTGTCTGCAGAGCCAAGGGTTTCCTGGAATCATTAGCTTAAAATAGTGCTTCTCAAAGTCTGCTCCCCAGTCCAGCAACAGCGGCGCCTCCATGGAACTTGCCAGAAATGTAACTTCTTAGGCCCCACCCTAGGCCCACTGCATTAGAAACTCAGGGGCAAGGGCAGCAATCATCCTGTCAGCAAGCACAATTCTGATGTGTACTAAATTCTGATGTGTACTAAATTCTGATGTGTACTAAATTCTGATGTACACTCAGGCAGCCACGCACCCATTTGGGAGGGCCCTGCCATAGGCAGATGGAATCTTCTCTCTCTCTGCCTCCATAGCATAAGATCCCTCCCTGTTTCACAGTGTGGCTACCACCTTCCCCAGGCTACAGCCAAGCCTCCCAGGAGCTTATGATACACACCTGAGCTTGGACTCACTGCTAAGGAATTATTAAATGCTCATCAAGGAACAGCAACCTGAGGAGCCCAGCTCTTGTCTGCTAGGAGGGGCGTGGGGTGTGGGCATGGAGAGAGTCGGGGTCGAGGCGGCTGGGAGTCCAGCCTATTGGAGGAGAGATTGGAGACGGTCAGGCAGACAGGGTTCACACGAGCTGGGAGGAGCTGGGCCCAGAGTAGTCTGGTGCTGATCCTGAGGCCAGACCCCCAGGCCACATCTCTGGCAGTGATGACCAGGAGACGAAGTGCCATGGCATGCCCAAGGCTGGTCCGGTTTCACCTGAGTTCTTGGTTAGAATCTTGGCCCACCCCTCCTCACTGCCCAGGCCCATTCCTACCAAGCACATGGCCTGTTCTGAATCCCAGGGAGGGTGTGACCACTGGCAACAGGCCTAGTACTCTGCCTGGCTCCAGCCCCATCCTCTGGGCAGGGCAATGCCCCCTGCTCTCACCCCCACCCGGCTCCCTGCCCATCCCTCAAGGAACTGAACTCAGCTTTCTGTTGGGTGGGGTGGTAGGTGTCCTGGAGGGCCGTGTCTTGGGGACTTGGACTGCAGTTTGTACTTGGACTCCTCGTCATCAGAACAGAACCAGGATTCATTGCGTTCGAGTGGCTGGGCGAGCAGATCCGGGTAGGTATGTGGGGTCTGGCTGCCCAGAGCATCTTAGATTACTGGGAGTAGGGGAGAAGCCACTTGGCAGGGGGAAAAGTGGGTGGTGAGGCCATAGAGAAGGCTTGGGACCTGGAGGGTGGGGTGGACTGGGGCCCCAGACCAGGTGGGCAGCTGGGGACCAGGCAGTGCAGCTGCCACTTCCCTCATGCCTGGTACTGAGGTCCCAATAGAGTAGTCTTTCCAGAGGCTGGGTCTGCAATCAGCAGTAACTTGGAAATTGTAATAGTTAAAAGTGCTAAAAAAAAAAACCCAAATCTGCAAATGATTTACTTCTGTGTGTGTGTGTTTAAAAATAACGTTTATTGAAGTTATACATTTTTGTTCTTTTTTTTTTTTTTCTTTCAAGAAGGAGTCTCGCTTTGTCACCCAGGCTGGAGTGCAGTGGTGCAATCTTGGCTTGCTGCAACCTCCACCTCCCTGGTTCAAGCAATTCTCCTGCCTCAGCCTGCCCAGTAGCTGGGATTACAGGCTCCCACCACCATGCCTGGCTAATGTTTATATTTTTAGTACAGACAGGGTTTCACCATGTTGGCCAGGCTGGTCTCGAACTCCTGACCTCAGACGATTCGCTTGCCTCGGCCTCCCAAAGTGCTGGGATTACAGGTGTAAGCCACCACACCTGGGCCCATTTTGTTTTGTTTTGAGACAGTCTTGCTTTGACATCCAGGCTGAGTGCAGTGGTGTGGATATGGCTCACTGCAGCGTTGACATCCTGGGCTCAAGTGATCCTCCCACCTCAGCCTCCCCAGTATTGAGTAGCTGGGACTACAGGTGTAAGCCACCATGCCAAGCTAATTAAAACATGGTTTGTTTGTTTGTTTGTTTGTTTGTTTGTTTCTTTCTTTCTTTCTTTCTTTCTTTCTTTCTTTCTCTTTCTTTCTTCCTTCCTTCCTTCCTTCCTTCCTTCCTTCCTTCCTTCCTTCCTTCCTTCCCTCCTTCCTTTCTTCCTTCCTTCCTTTCTTTTTTTTTTTTAGGTACAGGGTCTCCCTATGTTGCCCAGGCTGGTCTCAAACTCCTGGGCTCAAGTGATCTCACCTTGAGCCACGGTGCCCAGCCAATTCTGTTTTTTATTTTGGTAAAATATACATAACATAAAATCAACCATTTTAACCCCTTTAAGTATCATTAAATTCATGCACACTTGTTTTGCAACTATCATGATTTACTTTTGTCAAAAGAAAATTAGAACAAATTTAGTTTAAAGATCTTAATTGGCTTTTATTTGTGATTTTAGAATTAGGCAACACCTCATTCTATAAAAATAGAGTGGGTGTTCCGATGAGTTGAGTGGAGGAGGTTGGCTTTATAGACAGAGAAAGGCTGAAGAAAGCAGAAACAGAAAATAAATAGCAGATTGGTTGTTTCAAGGTCACTTTCCTTATAAAGGTCACAGCTGAGGGGACTGCCTGTCATGCTGCATTTGGGGATTTGGCTATCTGTCTCATTCTCCTGATTTTTTGGAAGGTCAGAAGACAGCTTAGTTTTGACTTGTGATGTGGAACTTTATAGCATGAGTGATTCCATTGTGGTTTGGTCTGTTGGGAGTAGTGCAGGAGCTCAGTCTAAACTAATGGTCTCCTTTATTTAACACTTAGAATTTTTTTTAAATCTATTTATTTGTTTATTTATTTTGAAACCAGGTTATGAGACTAGCTAATTTTTCTATTTTTGGTAGAGATGGGGTTTTACCATGTTGCCAAGGCTGGTCTTGAAGTCCTGGGCTCAAGTAATCTGCCCGCCTTGGCCTCCCAAAGTGCTGGGATTATAGGCATAAGCCACCATGCTGGCCTTTTTTTAATTTTAGTTTAGTTTAGTTTAGTTTAGTTTTGAGACAGGATTTCACTTCCATCACTCAGGCTGGAGTGCAGTGGCGTGATCTTAGCTCATTGCAGCCTCGACCTCCTGGAATCAAGGGAACTTCCCACCTCAGCCTCCCAAGTAGCTGGGACTCTAGGCATGAGCCACTACACCTGGCTAATTTTTGTATTTTTACCACTTTAAAAAATATAAATCATCAAGGACATAGGTTAAATATGTTAATCTACTCACCTCCCTCTCACCAGCTTGCAGTTCCCTGTGCTCTGTGCAGGGTGGAGCATGAGAACCCTGCCGGTCCAGGAATGTGCACACCTGCTGGCCTCACTGACAGTAACTGTACAGGGTGTGGAGGAAAAGACAGAGAGTTTCTTTTCTGGTCATGTCCCCATTTTATAGATGGGAACACTGAGGCCTGAACAAGAGAAATGACTTGCTGCCCCTGCAGTCACATTGCAAGTTCAGGATATAACACAGGTCTCCTGTAGAAGCATGGCTGGGCTCAGACTCCAAGGCCACAAGCCCGGGATGGGGACAAGATGAGGGGAGACTTTGCCGTTGGTTGTCAGGGGCCTGAGCGGCACAAGAGGCACTGCCTTCTTCACATGTCTCATGGTTACTTCTTCTGTTATCTCTTCTTTATTGTCCTAATAACTCCCAGAGCATTTCTTTTTTTTTTTTTTTTTTTTTTTGAGACAGAGTCTCGCTCTGTTGCCCAGGCTGCAGTGCAGTGGCGCAATCTTGGCTCACTGCAACCTCTGCCTCCCGGGTTCAAGCGATTCTCCTGCCTCAGCCTCCCAAGTAGCTGGGATTACAGGTGCCCACCACCATGCTCAGGTAATTTTTGTATTTTTAGCAGATATGGGGTTTCACCATGTTTGCCAAGCTGGTTTCGAACTCCTGACCTCAGGTGATCCGCCTGCCTCAGCCTCCCAAAGTGCTGAGATTACAGGTGTGAGCCACTGCACCCAGCCTGCAGAGCATATCTTTAAAATTGACCAAAAAGGTGTCTCTTTGGCAAATATGCTTAGGAGTGAGTGCCCGTGACAGCAGCTTTAACGCACCTTGCCAGGTGGTGCCCCCCCCCGGATAAGGGCCTGGGGGGACTACGTCCCTGGGCCAACCCGCCTGTCTCTGGCCGCTGCTTCCTCCCTCCTCCCTTCCCAGCCTCACTGCCTGTTTTTGTTTGTTTTGCTTTTTTCTTTCAGATCTTCCTGAGCTACACGAAGGCTGGCTCCAGCTTCGTGTTTGGGGAGGCGCTGGTCAAGGATGTCTTTGCCTTTCAGGTCAGCTTGACTCAGGGTCCCAGAGGCCTTTAGCAGCCACCGCCCAGCGACTCCAGCTAGAGGGGAGTCTGGGCATGGTGGGGGCCCAGGTGGAGGGGAGGAGTCCTGTGGGCAGAGGTCGCCGTACTGGGAAGTTAGTGAACCTTAAGCCTGGGGCCCGGGAGGAGCCCAGCAATGTTCACCTCATGAGATGTTTTTGCTATATTTTGTAAAATTTGCAAAAGTAAGATATTTCTGTATGTTTTTTTTTTTAGAGATGAACCTCCAAATTATAGAATTACTGAGTAGCTGAGGACAAGAAGTGGGGGTAGGGGTCATGGGGACAGCTCCTGCTGAGACCTTAGTCCCTGATGTGCTGCAGAGACTCTGGGCCCAGAAAGAGCAGTTTCCAGGAAGGCTTAGGCTCAAATGATCCTCTCAGGCGCTCCTCCTTCAGGGCCCCTCACAGGCCACCTCTGCCAGGAAGCCAGCCCTTACTAGTCCCGCTGCAATAGCTCCCTCCTTTGTGACCTCCTCAACCTACGATCCCACTTTCCCTCCCTCCCAGCCTCCATCCATCCTTCCTTTCTTTCTTCCAACAAAAATCTATTGTACATTTACTGCACTGCAAAATATTATAGGGGAAATGGAGATAAAGGCACTGTTCTGTTTCAAAGACCTTATTGTCTAATGGTGGAGCCCCAACCCTAATTTAAAAACAGGTCAGCCTGTGCGGAGGATGAGGATGCTACTGGTGGGACTGCTTCACTGTTCTGGGTGGAGCTGTGGTTGTATTCTTTTTTCCCTAGTTCATTGTTTAAGCACCGAAATGGCTTGTTTAGTAAGAACTCTAGTGTAGCCCTCCTCTGCCTGTCTTACACTCCAACTGTCTAAGACCAGCTTGCTCTAGGCTTAAGCTCCCTTGCCAGGCAGAAGAGAGAGACCTGGGCCCCACTCACCCAGTAGTTGGCCCCAGTTTTCTGCCACTGATGCGTGGCACTGAGAGGGAAATCAGGGCTGCCCACTCTGGTACATCCGGGACCGCCATCACCATGGAGCTGCTATGCAAGACCCCATGTGCAGGTTCCAGAGGTTTCTTCTGTTTTTCATTATGCTGGCCACTGTTCCCAGAGTCTCCCCACCCTGCTGGGGGTCTTGGACCCAGGAGACTTTTGGCCCAAGCCATGGACTTAGCTATGGACTTCTGGGCTGGCGTTGAGCCAGATCATGAGTTCAGACCCTCCTGCCTACCCCTGACCCTGACCCTGACCTCTGGTGAGCTCCCCTTGGAGCCTTAGCATCTCTTGTGCCAGCAGACTCCTAGGGAATGTCCAGTCTAACATCGTCAGCCCTAGGAGGAAAGGGAGGGGCCCAGGTTCCTATCTTCTCTGAAGTCTTCTTGCCCCCTGGGCAAATTTGCCCATCATGTTTTCTGAGACCAGTTCTGCATAGGGAGAATATTGGGAGGGGGAGCCTATGTCAGCCCCGCAAAGGCCCCTAATACCATATTCCTTTAGGGTAACGAGCAGCTGCTCCCTTACCTTTGCATAACCAATGCGGGGGTACCCGAAGTTTCAGAAAAGACAAGTAAGGTCTGCTTCAGGGTGACCTCTGGCGTCCACCCAGGCAGGGAGGCTCCCGCAGCTTCTTACACTTTAAAACACACACACTCAGCTGGGCGCGGTGGCTCATGCCTGTAATCCTAGCACTTTGGGAGGCTGAGGCAGGCGGATCACTTGAGGTTGGGAGTTTGAGACCAGCCTGACCAACATGGAGAAACCCCATCTCTACTAAAAATACAAAATTAGCCAAGTGTGGTGGTGCATGCCTGTAATCCCAGCTACTTGGGAGGCTGAGGCAGGAGAATCGCTTGAACCCAGGAGGCAGAGGTTGCAGTGAGCTGAGATCATGCCATTGCACTCCAGCCTGGGCAACAAGAGCGAAACTGCATCTCAACAAAACAAAACAAAACAAAACAAAAACACACACACCCGACACTCTGCAGTTCAACCTCCCCAGGCAGCTGCGTTCAAGTGCAGTAACGGAGGGGCCTGAGGAGTGCGTATAAGGAGAGATTCTTCTAATAAGAGACCGTGAGGGAGACTCCTTGAGGAGGCAGCATTTGACATGGAGTTTAGGACAGAAGAGATTTGGACAGACTGAGCTAGGCAGGAAGAGGAAATGGCATGGGCAAAGCATGGAGGTGAGAATGTGCTGGCGTGTCCACAGTGCAGGGCAGAGTTCAGTGGATAGGCAGGTAAGCTGTTTCCCAAAGGGAAATTAAAGCCTCGTTAGCCAAAAAGCAGGGGAAGAGGTGCCCGGCGGGCCACGCAGCTGCTGTCCGCCAGAGCGCCTTCCCCCGCCCACCACTGGCCCGCGTCTCTCCTGCGTCATTGCTGGGCTTGCCTCTGTGTCTGCCCCCTGGCCACATTAGCTATGTCTCCTCCCAGCCTGCCTCCCTCTCTGGAAGGATGTGTACACACCTGCTGCTTGCATCTCTCCCTGAATCACCCTTTAGAATCATGGATTCCTTGACCATTGGTACCAGGAGGGAGCTCAGTGGTGTTGCGGCCTCCCTTTTGTATTACTGATGGTCCAGCCAAGCTCCAGACAGGAGCAGTGTGTTGGCCGCAATGGCACAGTGAGTTGGCGCAGAGCCAGAGCTAGAACCCCTCCACTGGACTTCTGGTTAAGGGATGTATTCTTCCTCATACTATCAGCAGAAATCAACGGCCTCATGTCTCTCCTCCAAATACAAAAAGCACTCTGAATAACAAAAATGATCATTTAAAAATGTATCCATTAGGCTGGGCGTGGTGGCTCACGCCTGTAATCCCAGTACTTTGGGAGGCTGAAGTGGTTCGATCGCTTGAGTTCAGGAGTTCGAGACCAGCCTGGCCAATATGAAACCCCATCTCTACTAAAAATACAAAAATTAGCCAGGCATGGTGGCGGGCGCTTGTAATTCCAGCTACCCAGGAGGCTGAGGCAGGAGAATGACTTGAACCTGGGAGACGGAGGTTGCAGTGAGCGGAGACTGCACCACTGCACTCCAGGCCAGGCAACAGAGTGAGACTCCATCTCAAAAAAAAAAAAAAAAAAAGAAGAAGAAGAAGAAAATAAAAATGTATCAGTGGTGGCAAAAAACTTTGAAGTTGAATGTTCGGTTAAGACAAAAATGATAGTGAGGTGGGTTTATCATTAACCAGCCTCAGCATTTCCCAGCGAAACACCAGCAGTTTCCTGGCCCCTGGTAGGCCCTGTCCTCTGGACAAATTCCTGGACCGTGTATTGGCTGATGCACCATCCATAGCAATGCCAGGAAAGAGGAAGGAGGACTAGGATAAATGCTCTGTGGCCACAGAATTCTCTTTCTCACTAATCACAACATTTTATTCAGCCTCCCCCTCTCCCCTATATCACACACATATTATTGGGATTTGCCCTCAAGGTAGGGGTGGTTTTGTTGAATGCTGAGCTGAACAGAAGACTCAGGAAGTTCTCTCTATTCTTTCTATGAATCATACAGACCTAGTCCAAGGCCTTTGGCCAGTTTCAGTCTGGGGAAGTCTTCTCTGAGCTCACTCAGATTTTCAGAATCCAAGCTGCTTCCTGCTGGGCCATGGTCCAGCTGCTCTCTTCTGGGGGGAAGTAAAGTCTCTCCCTAGGGCTTCTTCAGCCCTCAGCTTGCCCTGGACCTGGAGTCCAGCACAGTGGACGTGGCAGTCACCCCTTGGCTGTATCAGCTGGATTAGTCATTCCACCTTGGCTCTGTCTCCCTTCTAGTAACTTTCCACCCGCATGATCATACTCCCCTGGGTCTGGCTGACCCGGGAGCAGACTCTCATTCTTTCACTATTGTTCTAGCCTCTGGAACAAGCACCCACTGCTAAGCTTAGCAGTGCTGCTCAGATTTTCTCTGGAGGAACCCCTAGGGTCAAGGAAAATGTCTTCATCTCCTGAGAGTTTCGGGATGTCTGATATAGACTCTGCAGTCCCCAGTGGTCAACAGTGCCAAATTTTGCGCGCGCGCACACACACACACACACACACACACACACACACACACACACAGATCAAATAAGGACCAAAAGGTATCATTGGATTTGGTAGTTAAGGGGTAACTGGTAACCTTAGTGAGCATGGTTTTCGGTGAAGGGAATGGGAAGTAAATGAAGCCTGGGGTGGGATGGCTGAAAGAAGGGAGATGGGACAGCCGAGGCAGGAGGCATCTTGTTGAAAACCCAGGATCCAGGCAGAAATGGGAATGAGGGGCAAAATGCTGAGGCCATTCTGGGCAAAGGGATGGCACAAACAGGAAATCAGGAGGCGTAGCTAGGTTACAGCCAGAAATGCAGCTACTCTGGACTTGGAGATGAGTCCCTTCCACTTTCTGGCGGTGGTACTGGTACAGTGTGCACCACAGCTGCTGCCCCGAGCATCTTCCAGCTTTGGGTTTTAGTGGCTCACTGTGGCCTGGGGCTGGTGACAGGGCACTGTCGACAGTGCTCAAGCCTTGGGGTCTGGAGACATGAGGGTTTGCCCAGACAGCCTTAGAAAGTCAGCAGGAGCCCTGGCTCAGCTTCCTCCAGGGAGAGGAGGGGGCAGGCCATGTCCTTAGTGGGGTTTATCTGGCCTTCAAAGCCTGTTTCTTGGCCCAGGTGATGAAGTTTGCTCAGAGCGTCTAATCTAGTCTCCAGGGCTGTGGTTGTCAGAGTGTGGTGTCCAGGTCAGCTGCACCAGCAGCATCTGGAAAGGCCAAACATCAGGCCCCACTGTAGACCTATTAAATCCAAAATATTTTTAGCAAATTCTCAAAGGATGCTGCTGGTCCACGTGCTGAGAACCACTGGCCTAGAAGAGCTAGAATTTCCTTCTTCCTTGAGTTATGGTACTAGCAGGACCAGCCTCCAAAGCCATTTCTACAAGGCAGTGGTCAGGACTTACTTGGCTCTTCCTTGAAGGGGACTGCCTTAGTCCATCCAGGAGGCCATAAACTGGGTGGTTACAAGCAACAGAAATTTATTTCTCACACTTCTAGAGGCTGGAAGTCTGAGATCAGTGTCCCTGCAAGGTTGAATTCTGTTGAGGCCCACTTTGCTCTCTGCCTACTTGGTCGTCTGTGTCCTCACATGGTAAAAGAGGTGAGGGAGCTCTCTGGAGCCTCTTTTATTTTTTATTTTTATTTTTTTGAGACAGGATCTCACTCTGTTGCCCAGGCTGGAGTGCAGTAGTGTGATCACTGCTCACTGCAGCCTCCATCTCCTTGGCTCAAGTGATCCTCCTGCCTCAGCCTCCAGAATAGCTGGGACTGCAGGCACATGCCACCATGCCCAGCTAATTTTTTTGAATTTTGGTAGATACAGGGTCTCACTATATTGCCGAGGCTGGTCTTGAACTCCTGAACTCAAGGGATCCTCTGGCCTCAGCCTCCCAAAATGCTGGGATTACAGGCGTGAGCCACTGTGCCTCTTTTACAACGGCACTAATCCCATTCATGAGGGCTCCACCCTCATAACCTAATCACCCCCAAAGGCTCCACCTCCTAATACCATCACCTAGGGAATTTGGTTTCAATATATGAATTTAGGGGGACACAGACATTCAGTTTCCAGCAGGGATGCATGCTGCCCCTGAAGGCAGAGAAACAAGCCTCCAGGACTGTTCCCAGGGCAAACCTCCCAAGGGGCATGGCAGGACCTTGGCAATCTGCATGGTGGCTGGGAAATGCATCTGCCTCTTTGCAGGTGTGTGACCTCGGGTGGGTAGCCAAGATCTCACAGCCTCCGTGTGCCCATTTGTGAAGTGGCGACAGTTACATCCACCACAGATGCTATGAGGATTCATGAGTCCCCACATATTAGGGACCTGGCCCAGGACAAGCCCTCGTGGTTGGCACACAGTGGAATTTAATGGCACTTGCCTCCCCTTTCCACAGCAGCACTGCCTCGAGCTGCTGCCCTGTTCTGCCACCTCACATCCTGCAGGCCCCAGAGGTGTTTCCTGGGCTGTAAGATGATATTGGCCACAGGGACCTTATTTAATATTCTATCCTACCTTAGAAAATTGGGGCCACCTCTTTTCTCTTTCATTCCCCTCCCCTCCCTAGACAGGCCCCACTTAATCCAAAACATAGCTTCTCTTCTACCATTCTCCGTCTCACAGATAGAAAATCTTTTGATTGCTGGCAGGAGAAAGTCCCAATGCTGCAGTGGGGTCCTGATGCCCCGGGCACTCTCCTTCCTGGCGTGGGCCCATCCCTGCAGGCCTGCTAGCTGCCCTGCAGTCCCTCTCAGGATCCACTGGACAAGCAGTCTAGACAGTACGTGACTCTCTCTGCATCTCAGTCCCAGGAGTGTGGGATGATGTCATCCTACCCGTGCTGGAGGTGTTTCTAGCCCCAGGCGGGAGGAGGAGTCACGGGGCACAGTTCTGGTGTTCTCTGTCGGGTGACTTCCCCACCACAGGGAAGTTGGTGACAGATGACAGCAGAGCAAGTCCAGATACAACCTGCAGCATTGGTCTGGGAAGGGACAGGAGAAAGAAAAGGCCTCAGCAGGGCTTGCCTCCCAGCTGCCCGGGCAGAATCTCCATTCTCTTCAGGGTCCATTCTGTAATCCCAGTTCACTTTGAACTAGAGCCTAAATTTGGTTGCTCAAGACTCTCCCTCCTTAAAAAATAAAAGCAGCCCTTGCCGGGCCCTCACCAGTCTCCGGCAGTGAGCACAGTGCTGCTTCTTGCAAGGGCTGTCCATTCTTGTGGTCTCCCCTTCTTCATGTCTCACTTCCACCTTGGCTCACTGACATCAGCCTCAGTCCCCACGCTTCCTCTGACACTGCTCTCACCTAGATCATGGGTGCCTCCAAGTTGCTAAGTCCCAGGGGTCTGGCTCAGTCCTTACCGTTCCAGAGTTCTCTGATGCCCCTGACACAGTGCTAGTGACTATCCCTTCTTGAAAAGCTGCCCCTCGGTTTCCATCCTGCCTCTCTTCTGGCCGTCCTCCAGCCCTTGGCTATTTCTTTGTCTCCTTCACAGGCTCCTCCTTCCCCTCTCACCCTTTAATGACACACTGACCACAGGGCCCTGTCCTTAGCTCCTGTTCTTCTCACTCAGGGCTATTTCTGCAGTGAATTGCATCCACCAGCCACCTCAACCTGTTGTTGTTGTTGTTGTTGTTGTTCTTCTTCTTATTATTATTATTATTTTAGACAGGGTCTCACTCTGTCACCCCAGGCTGGAGTGCAGTCGGATGATCTCGGCTCACTGCAACCTCTGCCTCCCGGGTTCAAGCGATTCTCATGCCTCAGCCTTCCGAGTAGCTGGGATTACAGGCACCCGCCACTACCCCTGGCTTATTTTTTTCTATTTTTAGTAGAGATGGGGTTTCACCATGTTGGCCAGGCTGGTCTCGAACTCCTGACCTCAAATGATCCACCTGCCTCGGCCTCCCAAAGTGCTGGGATTACTTTTTTTTTTTTTTTTTCAAACATGGGGTCTTACTCTGTTGTCTGGGCTGTAGTGCAGTGGCATGATCATGACTTACTGCAGCCTCGAACTCCTGGAATCCAGTAATCCTCCCACTTCAGCCTCCAGAGCAGTTGGAACCACATGTGTGTGCCACCATACATAGCTGTTAAAAAAAAATTTGTTTATGTAGAGATGGGGGCCTTGCTTTGTTTCCTAGGCTGGTCTCAAACTCCTGAGCTCAAGCAATCCTCCTGCCTCGGCCTCCCAAAGTGCTGGGATTACAGGCATGAACCACCATGCTGGGCCAACCTGTACTTCTTATGAAAGAGCCCCAAGCCAAAGCCTGGCCCAGATGTCCCTAACCCTTTTATCCAGCTGCCCACTTGGTATTCCACAGGCATCTCAAATTCAAAGTTCAAAGCCAAACTGATCTTCCCACAAACCTCTCCTGCCTATGCTCCTTCCCTTGAGAAATGTCCACCTATTATTGAAAATTCTAGGAACAACTGGGCACAGTGGCTCACGCCTGTAATCTCAGCACTTTGGGAGAATGGGGTGGGCAGATCACTTGAGGTCAGGAGCTCGAGACCAGCCTGGCCAACATGGTGAAACCTTGTCTCTACTAAAAATACAAAAATTAGCTGGGTGTGGCAGCAAGCGCCTGTAATCCCAGCTACTTGGGAGGCTGAGGCAGGAGAATCACTTGAACCCAGGAGGCGGAGGCTGTAGTGAGCCGAGATCGTACCACTGTACTCCAGCCTGGGCAACAGAGTGAGATTCTGTCTCAAAAAAAAAAAAATAAATAAAAAAGGTAGGAACAGATGAGAAATTCAGAAATAAAGAAAAAAGAAAACAACATTTCCATAGCCCCAGCACATAGAAACAAATCCTTTGGCTATTTGGGAGTGCTTCTTTCTATAATTTTAATATTCCAATTTTCCCATTTAACATTGTAGCATAAGACTGCTCCCATGCTATTACCAGTTCTACATGACTATTTTAAACTGTTGGGAACACAGGACACAGAATAGAGCAAACATTCCAACACAAAAGGGTATAAGGTAAAAAAGAAAACTTCCTTTCATCCCTGGCCCCCAAGGCACTCAGTTCCCTCCCCAAGGCACCTGCTGTTGCTGGCCTCTTGCACATCCTTCTAATGATTCCTGTGCCTATACAAGATCACACACAACGCCCCTCACACACATGCTTTTGGAGAGGTAGGGGACCTTACGATGTTGCCCAGCCTGGCCTTGAACTCCTGGGCTCAAGCAATCCTCTTGCCTCAGCCTCCTGAGTAGCTGGGACTATAGACATGTGCCATCATGCATGGCTACCCCCCACCCCCTTCTTAAACCCACATAACAGCATAGCATACACTCTTGTGGTACACCTTCTCTTTTTTCATTTAACAACATATCTTGGAAATCAGTCCACAGCTGCCCATAGAGAGCTTCTGCATTCTTGTTTCCTGACCTTTAGTGCACTAGGGTATGTCTGTATCCTAGGTGATGAAACTAGTCTTCCACTAAAAGACCTCTCCATTTTTTGCCAGTTTGTTACTAAACATCAGACTACAGTAAAGAAAGACTAGGGTGCAGAAAAGCAACCTCCTTTTCCATGGGCCTGGAAAAGAGGGAATGGGTGTGAGAGAAATTCTAAAGGGAGAATGGGTGAGCTTGGAGTGAAGGAAGAGGAGTGTTAAGCCTGGTACTAATAATAGGAAATGGGGTGATGGGAGGAGATGCTGGCTCAGGTCCGGGATAAGCCTAATTCTGAGCATGTTGGTGCTGAGCAGAAGTGGAGCACCAAAATGATGAGGGTCCCCTCATTCAGGCCCAAAGCATGAGAGGGAGGTTAAGGCCAGAGTCTGAGGCCAAGGATTGAGCTCATGGAGAAGGGTGCACACTGCCACCTTCACAACGACCCTCAGATGTGGGCATTTTACTCCCCTTTTAGAGACAAAGAAGCAGGAGATAAAAGTGGTACACTCAGGCCCCACCCTACCACAGCACAGGCCTACCTGTGCTGAGGAGAGGGGGTGGTCTGGCGGCTGGTCACTATTTAGAGGGGAGCCGAGAGGACAAGGCTGCCTCCAAAGAGGCCCTGCATGTGGAACCCTGGGACTTCATGCACTGATCTCAGAGCATCTTCCCGGATCCTGTCAGGCATCTGAGTGGCAAGGCCTGGGATGGAGTGGGCTGTCTGGGGTCTCCTGGGCCCCGCCTGGCACCCTGCATCCTGCCTGCCTCTAACCTGCGGTCCTATGATCTCCTTCCCGGCAGGTTCTGCCCATCATTGTCTTTTTCAGCTGTGTCATATCCGTTCTCTACCACGTGGGCCTCATGCAGTGGGTGATCCTGAAGGTAAGTTCCCAGTGCCCATGGCCAGGGCTCTCCCAGAGTCACCAGCTCACAGGGTTCACACTGTCCCAGAATGCCTTGCTCCCAGAGCCCAAACCTCCCCAGACACACTGCTCCCCAAGCCCACACCCTTCCAGAGTCCCCTGTTCCCAGTGCCTCCACCTTCCCAGAATCCCCAGCTGCCAAGTTCCACACCTTTCTGGAATCCTTTGCTCCTGAGGCCCATACCTTCCCAGAATCCCCAACTCTTAGAGTTCACACCTTCCTAGAATCCCTTGCTTCTGAAGTCCATATCTTCCCTGAACCCCTGGCTCTTAGAGTTCACACCTTCCTAGAATCCTTTGCTCCTGAGGCCCATACCTTCCCTGAATCCCCTGCTTCCAGGATCTTCACCCTCACAGAATCTAGTGCTGACCAAATGTCCTTTCCCAGGGTCTCCTGTCATGATACTAAAGAGAAATAGCACCAAAGTCTAATGTGGTCCTTGCTAGAGGAAAGGTTGCAGTTTTGAGGCGGCACTGAAAAGGTGTAGAGGGAAGAAAATAATTTATACCGAAAAGATATTGAGAGACTGTAGCAGTGGACCATGTTGGCCAGACTTAGCTGGTATAAATGTCAGATCCTGTGCTTATGTTCATAAAATATGCTGCACAAAACTAGGATGTAGGAGATAGCATTGGACAGCAACAGATAGCATTGGACTTGGCAAAAGATTCCAAGGTTTTAGCTGATTGAGCTCAGAATAAATCAGCAACATCAGATGGCTTCCAGAAATGCAAAAACAACCTGTGGTTATTATCTTTGTTCATTTTCTGTTGCTATAACAGAATATCACAGACTGGGTAATTTATAAAGAAAAGAGATTTATTTGGCTCATGGCCAAATAGAGGGTATGGTTTCAAGATTGAAACCTTGGCTGGGAAGGCCAAGAGCATGGCACTGACATCTGGTAAGGGCCTTCTTGCTGTGTCATAACATGGTGGAAGGGCAGAAGGCAGAAGTGAGCACACAAGACACAGAGAGATCAGGGCCAAACTTATCCTTTTTATCAGGAGTTCACTCCCATGATAACCAAACTACTCCTGCAATAACAGCATTAATCCATTCATGAGGGCAGAGCCTTCATGCCCTAATCACCTCCTCAAGGTCATGCCTCTCAACATCGTTACAATGGCAATCAAATATATATATATTTTTATTTGGCAATCAAATTTCAACATGAGTTTAGGTGGGGATATTCAAACCATAGCAGTTATGTTAAGAGCACACACAGCATAGCATAAAGGAGGTGATTCTCCCCAGACCTGGAGACTGTGTTCAACCAAGAGGCTATGACAAACTGAACTATAAGCAGGATAGTGAAAGGGATTGAAACCATGCCCTCCACAAAATGGTTGAAGGAATAGGGAATGAGGAGCTTGGAGAAGAGGAAGTTAGGGGAGGATAGCTGTCTCCAAATACTTACAGAAGAGAGATTAGGCAAAGGGCAACCTGAGAGGCACCAGCAGTGGAGAGAATTCCAGGGAAGCAGATTTCATCTTGATTAAAAAGAAGAGCTTTCTAGTTGGGCGTGGTGGCTCATGCCTGTAATCCCAGCACTTTGGGAGGCCAAGGCAGACGGATCACCTGAGGTCAGGAGTTCGAGACCAGTCTGGCCAACATAGTGAAACCTCATCTCTACTAAAAATACAAAAATTAGCCGGGCATGGTGGCGAGTGCCTGTAGTCCCAACTACTCAGGAGGCTGAGGCAGGAGAGTTGCTTGAACCTGGGAGGCAGAGGTTGCAGTGAGCCAAGATTGTGCCACCGCACTCCAGCCTGGGTGACAGAACGAGGCTCTGTCTTGGAAAGGAAAGGAAAGGAAAGGGGAAGGGGAAGGGGAAGGGGAAGGGCTTTCTAATAGAATGTTTCCCAAAACCTTTTCCACAAAACTCTAGTTCCACAGCATGTTAGTAAATGTTACCAGGTAAAGGTAGCCTAATCCCATGGTCAAATAATTTAGGGAAACTAGGCTAGACATTATGCTATGAAAATTTAAATAGGCTTAATGCAGGACTTCTCAGAGGCTTTACTAAGCTAATGTGTATTGGTAATCTCCAAGGGGTGTGTGTGTGTGTGTGTGTGCATTTCACAATTCTCAAATATATTGGGCCAGGAAATCCTTTCTGCATTCCTACGGTGAAATGAATGGCCTTGGGAAGGGGTAAGCCCCCATCAATGAAGGTGTGGAAGAAGAAGATGAATGGACCTTTTGGGAAAATGTAGATGAAGGGGTCCTACACTGGGCTGGGAGTTGGGAGGAAACTGTGTAAGGTCTTCCACTCCAGCCCCCTCTGACTCTGGGGTTTGCTGATGTCAGCCCACAAAGAACATTCTGCTTCCTTCTAGATTGCCTGGCTGATGCAAGTCACCATGGGCACCACAGCCACTGAGACCCTGAGTGTGGCTGGAAACATCTTTGTGAGCCAGGTGGGTATGGAAGCCTCCTACCCTCATGCTCATCAGCAGCTTCCCCAAAGAGGGCAGTTTCCCTGGATCCCCAGAGCTCTGATTCAGTCCAAGGAAGAGCCATTTGAACCTTCTCCCAGGGTCATCAAATTCTGCTGCTCCAGGGATACTCTGTTTGGGGGATGCCTGGGTCATGCCAGGGAGGATGTCATCTGTCTGGCTTCTCTTACCACTCTAGCCCTAGGCGGTCTTCATCAGCCCAAAGACTCACAAATCCTCCAGATGGATCCAGTTTCTCATTTTACACATGAGGAAACAGGCTCAGGGGATGGGAATCCCTTGACCAAGATTCCACACATATAAGCCACGGCTTCAAATCCAGGTTTTCTTCTTTCTGGTCAGAGTTTTTTCCACTGCATCATTTTGTCTTTTCTTTTCTCCCTCTTTCTTAAAATGTGTTTTCCAAAGTAAATGTGACTCTGAAAGTACCCTTGGTGCCGAGTCCCTTTCAGAAAGCCTGATCCCCCTGAGGATGGCCCTCTGGAGACTCTGCCAAGGCCTGTCCTGGCCCATCTGCCTAATGTTTGAGTCACCAAGAGACACACTGGTTAGAAGATGCCATATTTCACTGGACAGTTTAGGAAACTTTGGAGAATATTTTTATCTTTTTTGCTACGGTGCATGTGTGTTGATTTGAAAGTTTTTGTTCTGGTTATTTTTTGTTTAGTTTTGTCTTGTTTTTAGCCGATGAAGATAGACGTGCTCTCAGATAAACTGTCAAAAAAATCCCTTAAGGTGTTCAAAATGAGGCAAAAGAGGAAAACACTATTAAAATGCAAAGCAGTTATTCTATATGAAAGGCTGCAAATGTGTTCCATGTGTTTTGCTGGGAAAATATGTAGGTGAAAGTGACATTGGGCGATGTGAAGCGCTGCCAAGGTGAATTCACTTTGGACAAGCTGTTGATTAAGCTGACCTAGATGCCGGGGTCTACGCCTCATTTCCCCCAAGAGGGAGGGATGGGGAGCCTTCAGGGATCAGTGGCATCATTTGAACCTCTCTACTTGTGGCAGGCCTGGGCCCTCTGCTCTTGTCCATCCACACTCCCTCCCTGCAGGATCACATTAGCCCCATGGCTTTAAACACTTTAAATGTCTCTCAGGTCCTGCTCTGCAGTCCTGATCTCCCATGAACTCAGGACTGACAGGTCAACTGGCCCCTTGACCGTCCACTTGGAGATCTAAGGGGTGTCGCACATTAAGACGCTAAGTCCAAACAACCTGAACTGTTGCTCCCCTCCCTCATCACCCCTGCCCCTCTCAAGCCCTTCCCCTCTTGGCAAGTGGGAACATCTTCCACAGGATGGTTCAGGCGGAGCTGGAAGAGCTGCCCTGCCTTCCTCCGCTTCCCCCACTGCGGCATCCAATCTATCAGCATTCCCACAGCGCTGCCTCTGTGGCCCATCTACAACCCCCCGCTGCCCGGGCCACCTGCCTCTCACCTGGACACTGCCGTCTCCTCCTACCTCTTCTTCCTTCCCGTACTATCCGTCCTTCACTCATACACCCGAGTGACCCTTCAAACACACAAAGCGGATCATTCCACTCCTGCCTAAGCAAGCGTGCCCCTCACCGTGGCTTCCTAGCCCCTCTGTGGCCCACCTGCCCCCTCTGCCTCTGTCTCAGGCGGCTCCCCCGCGCCCATCTGCAGCAGACATGCTGACTGCTATGGCTTTTGGACCTTGCAGAGCTTCTTGCTGCCTTAGGGCCTCTGCTATTCGCTTGCCTGGAATGCTATGCTATCAAACCATGTCACTGGCTCCTTCAGGTCTCAGCCAACCCTAACCTAATGTCACCTCCTCAGAGAGGGCTTTGCCGATTTCTCAGTTTCTTTGTTTTTGTTTTCTGAGATGGAGTCTCGCTCTGTCACCTAGGCTGGAGCGCAGTGGCACAATCTTGGGCTCACTGCAACCTCCGCCTCCCGGGTTCAAGCGATTCTCGTGCCTAAGCCTCCCTAGTAGCTGGGATTACTGACATGTGTCAGCATGCCCGGCTAATTTTTGTATTTTTAGTTGAGACAGGGTTTCACCATGTTGGCCAGGCTGGTCTGGAACTCCTGACCTCAGCCAATCCTACCACCTCAGCCTCCCAAAGTGCTGGGATTGCAGGCGTGAGCCACTGTGCCTGGCCTACTCAGTTTTAAACACCCCTAACCAGTAGGCATTATCACACATATCTTCATAGCTTTCATCACCATCTAAAATGACATTGCTTACCTGCTTGGTTGCTTGTTGATTATCTATATCCTCCCACCCTCCACGGCTCCCAGGATATAAGCCCTATGAAGGCAGGGACTTTATCCTGTCGACGCCATGTTCCTATTCTATATAACAGTGCCTGGAACACAGTAGGCGCTCAACAACTAGATACTGAATGAGTAATGAAGGGCTTCGGGCTGCCCAGATGCCCAGAAATGCACCCCTCATCCAATGCCCAAGCTCCTTTCTTTTTGGCCACCGCTGTGGCTGCAGGAGAGCTTGGGCCTGCAGCAGGACCTGCTTCACATCCTTTTACATGAGCAGGGGTCATTCCTGGAACCCCACCGAACCTCTGTTGCTCTCCTGGAAAACGGAGATACCCAATTCTATCTCAGAAGGTTGTGAGTAACAAAGGTGACGTGCTTAGCGGGGTGCCTGGCACGTGGCAGGACATCAACACAGGGGAGCATTGTCAGGCCGGGAGGGAGGGATGGGGGTCCTTCTGTAGAGGTAGGCAATGCTGAGGTTCAGAGAAGCTCAGCCAAGTACAGACCCTGGTCCTTACCCCATCCTGCTGCCTCTTACCGTGGGACTCCCAGCTGCTCACTGTGACCTGTGAAGGGAGAGGATGTGCCCAATCACCCCCACCCTGCTTGTCTGACATCTTTCCTGTTTGCAGACCGAGGCTCCATTACTGATCCGGCCCTACTTGGCAGACATGACACTCTCTGAAGTCCACGTTGTCATGACCGGAGGTTACGCCACCATTGCTGGCAGCCTGCTGGGTGCCTACATCTCCTTTGGGGTAGGTAGAGCCCTCCTTCTGCTTGGCTATGTTGAGGACCTGAAGCCCATCTTTGTGGGAGCCCCACACAGCTCCTGGCCAGAGCAGCCCTCAGATCTTCTCTCTTGGGCCTGCTGTGCTGGCAAGAGGAGTGGCTTCCCCTGAGCCCAGTGGGCTGGACCATTTGCTCGGGCTTTGCGCATGGCCACCTGGGGCAAAGCTTCCTGGTGTTCCATTTACTGAGTGCATGCTAGGTACCAGGCAGTATGCTAGGTGTTTTAATATCCCCATTTTCCAGATGAGAAAATTGAGGCTCCAGAGTAAGTGAGATGCCCAAACCCAGATCTGTCTGACTCCAAAATTTGTGCTCATTTCTCCAGTCTCACACCTGGGCTGTCCCTAGAGATCCGTCCTACTCCTTCCCTCCTCCCTTTCCCCACACTCTCTCTGGGCTCAAGTCCTGCCTCTGCTCCTAAATTATTGCCTGTGCAGTTTACACAGCACAAAGAATTTGTAGGTCAAATTCCAGTGGTGTGAATTAGGCCCTAAAAGCAATCACAATGCTACTGCATGGTGGGCAGAGGGAAATTCTCAAATGCATCCCTCACATAATGCCCGGTAATAATGCTTTACATTCATAAAACACCTTATGCTTTCACATTTGTGCTTTCACAGGCAAATCTTCAAAGGTCTCAATTTTATTTCCTTAATGATCAAAGAAATTCTTGCTTATTGCAGAAACAAATAAGTTTTTAAATCTCTTTCTTAACCCCACTTCCCATGGGTAACTGATTTTATTTTTTATTAATTTTTTTTGTTTGTTTGTTTTTGAGACGGAGTCTTGCTCTGTTGCCAGGCTGGAGTGCAGTGGCGCAATCTTGGCTGACTGCAACCTCTAGCTCCCTGGTTCAAGCGTTTCTCCTGCCTCAGCGTCCTGAGTAGCTAGGATTACAGGCACGCCCCACCGCGCCCAGCTAGTTTTTTTTTTTTTTTTTTTTTTTTTGTATTTTTAGTAGAGACAGGGTTTCACCATGTTGGCCAGGATGGTCTCGATCTCCTGACCTTGTGATCTGCCCACCTCAGCCTCCCAAAGTGCTGGTATTACAGGCATGAGCCACGGTGCCTGGCCTGGTAATTGCTTTTAATAGCGTAGAACAGCTATTCTGAAAGTGGGGTCCATGGACCAGCATTGTCAGCATCACCTGCGAACTTGTTAGAAATGCAAATTCTTGGGCCCACCCTAGACCTGCTGAATCAGAAACGATGGGGGATGCCAAGGCGGGTGGATCATCTGAGGTCAGGAATTTGAGAGCAGCCCGGCCAACATGGTGAAATCTCATCTCTACTAAAAATACAAAAAAATAGCTGGCCGTGGTGGTGGGTGCTTGTAATCCTAGCTATTTGGGAGGCTGAAGCAGGAGAATCACTTGAAACTGGGAGGCGGAGGTTGCAGTGAACTGAGATCGCACCACTGCACAGTAGCCTGGGCAACAGAGTGAGACTGTGTTTCAAAAAAAGAAAAGAAATGATGGGGGTGGAACCAGCATACTGCGTTGCAACAGGCCTCACAGGTGATTCTGATGCCCGCCCAATTTGAGACCACTGACCTAAAATGTCATTCCAAATCTTTCTGTGTAAGTAGGCTTTTAGGTATATACACCTGAGTACTCACATACTTTCTCTCTCTTTTTTTTTTAATAAAAGTTGAGAATCATTGATCAGGAGAAAATAGTTCACAAATTATAAAAAGATATTCAAGCTCACTGATGTTCAAAGGAATTAAGACGATAATAACTTATCTTTCTTCTAAGTGATATGAAACCCTTTACGTGCCCCCAAATGGCAAGTGTGTGGTACTCACCCACTCATGGTAACAGTTTAATTTACTGTAACCTTTTTTGGTGAAGGCCTATCAGTCTATTTATTTTTTATTTATTTTATTCTATATATAATATTTTGTTTTTTTATTTTATTCTATATATAATATTTTATTATTTTATCATATATCACTTTTAATTTTTTTATTTATATAATAAA